>NC_000012.12:116096491-116248006 GCF_000001405.40 Homo sapiens | reverse complement strand
TGGAGCTAGGAGCTGAAAGCAGTACTGAATAATGACTGATAATTTAGATCTGTTGAATAGGATCAAGATTTCTTACCTTTATTAATGTAGCTTAAGATGGCAGCTACTTTTAAATATCTACTTCACATTGTTTAATTGTAGTAAACTTATTGTCAAATAAAACCTCTGAGCCCTTATACTTACGCTATAAACCAACTTTTAAAAAATCTTTATACTTTTTAGTTAATGTTGGTAAACTGAGCAGTGAAAAGAAAATGACACTTGAGGAAAACATTTATGAATCAGCACATATGCATATGTGTGTGTATATATATATACGTTAGCATCTTTTATATATGACCTCATTGTATGGAGGAATACCACATTGTATTTCTCATAACATGGAAATAACCAGTCAGATGGGAGGCCCAGTGTCTCGTCAGCAGCCCATCTACACAGGGAATCCTTGGCCAGCAACATAGCTATGGCTGAGAAGAATTTGAGCAGAGCCAGATGGGATGGAGCATGCAGCTAGAAAGATGTCTCTGTCCAGCTGGGTTTTAATAGTCTAAAATGGAGAAAAGAAACAGTCAACAACAACACGTTATTTTAACACATGGTTAAATAACCTTTTGGCTTTTGCAGCACAATTTATGGGATATTGTTCTTCAGTTTAGGAATTTGTCTAGAATAAGTCTATAAAGTAGTATAAGTGAGTTCTCAATATTAGTAGCTTTACATTCTATTACCCCATTTTGATTAATTTTGTTTAAATTTCCTTTTTTTTTTTAAAGCAGAGCTATATACTCTTACAGAATTCAATTAAAGAATCAGATAGGTCTACAAGGTTTATAAGAACAGTATTCTGCTCCTGCCCCTATTTTACCTTCTTTAGAAGCAAACACTCACCCTCTTTTGTTGATTATCTTGGTTCTTACTTAAATGTTTCTAAATACTGAGGTCATAGTTACTTTTAGATTTTTCAATTCTATATCTTCCACTATCGAAGAGGAGGGTTTAACTCATTCTTTCTGCCTCCTACAAAGCAGATGCCCTTTTAAAAATTTCCTCTCTCCCTCCCTCCCTTCCTTCCCTCCCCTCCTCTCCCCACTCCCCTCTTCTTCCCGCCTCCCCACCTCCCCACCTCCCTCCCCTCCTCTCCCCACCTCCCCACCTCCCTCCTCTCCCTCCCCTCCACACCTCGCTCCCTTCCCCTCCCCACCTCCCTCCCCTCCCCTCCTGTCCCTCCCTTCCCCACCTCCCTCCCCAGCCCGCCACCACCTCTAACTCCTTAGCTCAGGTGATCCTTCTGCTTGAGCCTCCTGAGTAGCTGGGACTACATATGTGTGCCACAATGCTTCAGCTGTGTCTGTCAGTCTGTATATAGAGACAAGGTCTTGCTGTCTTGCCCAGGCTGGTCTCAAATAGGTCAAGTCGTCCTTCTGCCTTGGCCTCCTAAAGTGCTGGCATTACAGACATGAGCCACAGGGCCCAGCCTGCTTACTTTTCTAAAACTTAACTCATCCCCACAGTTTTTGCCTATTGTATGAAACCCCTTTAAGACTCTCAGATGTATCAGGTGTTTTATTAGTTTCACCTTCCTGAAGAAGTCTTTACGGACCTGTCATAATCTGGATTGGTTGCCCTCTGCGCTGGTGTATAGTTGGCATCCTGGAGTCATCATTCGTTATGATTTTAGGGATTTATTTTATTCCCTCTCAGGTCTGTTTCCTGAATCTTCAGACTTCTTGGTGTATTCCCTCCTTTTGGTAAGTACACACCCAGTAGCTTCCTGAGAAAGGGTGCTTTTTTTTTTTTTTTGCATGTCTAAAAATGCGTTTATTCTCACATATTTGATAGAAAGTTTAGGCTGGCATAGCCATTTAATATTTAGTTTGGAAATAATTCTTTAGCATTTTGGAGTTATTGCACCTTTGCCTTCTTGCTTGTGGTATTGCTGTTGAGCAGTTAGAAATCCTGATTTTGGATATGTGACCTCTTTTTATTATATGGAAACTTGGAGGATTTTCTCTTAGTCTGCAGTGTGCTGAAAGTTTACAGTGATATGCCTTCCGCGAGTCTTTCTTAATCCATTGTTCTGAGCACTCAGAGAGCTCTTTCAATCTAGAAATTCACATTCTGTTTTTCTGGGAAATTGTTATGAATTGTTTTGTTGGTCATTTCCTCTTTATTTTCTGTATTTTCTCTTTCTGAAAGCTCTTGTATTTGGATTTCAGCTTCCTCGTATTTGGATTTTCAGCTTTCCCCCATTTTCCATTTTTGTTTATTTGTTTCACTTTCTGGGAGATTTCCTAAACTTTATCTTCTAAACATTTTACTAAGTTTTATCATTTCTGGAATCATTATTTAAAAATTTCCAAGAGCTTTTAAAAAATTCTCTCCTGAAATAGCATCCTGTTGTTTTTAAATGGTTGCACCATTTTATTTTGTTGAGAATATTCTTGGTGTTTTTAAAGTTTTCTTCTCCCAATGTTGTCTTCCCTTCTAGCTGCTTTTTCATTTGTTTTTGTTTCTGTAATTCCTCAGTGGTTTTCCTTAATTATTTAGCAATTCTTGGTTGTATGTTCATGTTTAGGAATGGTGGACTAAGAATCTGCTTGGAATTTCTGAGCATGTGACCGACATTTGCTTAACTGTGCGCCTCACTGATCTGGGTGGGCTCTTTAGTTGGGGAACCTCTCTCTGATCTCAGTATCTTGAGGTCTTTTCTGTGGAGCTAAGATTTCTCAGAGAAGACTTTTCCAAATTCCTTTCTGAGGGATGAAGACTGGCTGCTAGTTTTCTGGGTGCTTAGAGGGCAGTGGTAGGGAGGGGGTGGTCCTTGGCCTTCATTCTATATATTTCACCAAATGCCCTGTTTTCACTCTGGTTCCGTGCCTTCAGTTTGCCTGTGTCCTGCAGTCCAGGTACCCTCTGTTTACTGTCTCCAGAGAATACATTTGCATTTATTTGCTGGGGTGAAGAAGGGACAGTAGTTCAGCTTTGTGCAGTAGAGAAGGTACCTGGGCATCTGAGTGCCTTCTTATTTTATTTTCTTTTCTTTTAATTTTATTTTGTGATTGGGTCTCACTCTGTTGCCCAGGCTGGAGTACAGTGGTGTGATCACAGCTCACTGCAGCCTCAGCCTCCCAGGCTCAAGAGACCCGCTCACTTTAGCGTCCCTAGTAGCTGGGACTACAGGCAAGCAGCGCCATGCTTGGCTTATTTTTTAATTTTTTGTAGAGTTGAGGTCTCACTATGTTGCTTAGGCTGGTCTAGAACTTCTGAGTTCAAGTGATCCTTCTGCTGTGGGCCTGCCAAAGTGTTGGAATTACAGGCGTGAGCCACTGCACCCAGCTGAGCGCCTTTTAAGCAGGCTTTTAACCAGTTGTTCTTATTTAATCTCCTCTCTGCCTTTCAACCCTACTTCCAAAATACCTGTATTTAATTCCTGAGGCTGAGGGGATTCTGTGTCAATTGGGTTGTATCTCTTTCTTCATGTTTAGGATTCAGTTTTCTTACGTATTGTAAATCTCCTTATCAGAGCATCTGCTTCTTAGCCTTCAAAATTTTGATGCTATATCCTCTCTTGTTCCACCTGCCGTTGTAATTATATAATTTAATGAAATAAAACAATGAAACAAATGTTTTTCTTGATGTCTTACAGGGGTTTAGGAGAGAGCAAAAGCAGATGTGTATGTTTATTTTGCTGTCTTTACAGGGAGTTGATTAGTTATGTTTTAACAGAAGTTTTCTATTACATGTGACTTTTTTCCTTCCTCTGAGTTGAGAGGTGACTTAATATGTTTACTGTATTAACCTACTCTACTGCAGTGGTAACCCTATCATTGGAGGAAGTGAGGTGAGGCCGACTTGGAATTTCCTAATGCATGCTTGTCAGCCTCAAATGATCACAGCTGCCTTTTCTATACACCAGCCTAGAATCCTGCCCAGGATGGATACGTTAAACTAATTGGTTTGTACTTCTGAGGACTCTTTCAATAGTTTCCTGAAATGTTGACTATCTTCTGGCAGCTTTTCTGTTCTTGATGGGTAATAAGGGTTCCATCTCATTTACAAGTTGCTTTTATGAGTGGGATGTAATTAGCCTGGGCCAGGAGACTTGAACTGATTTATAGTATCTAGGTCAACCCTATCACTTTATAGGTCCTGAATCTGAGGTGCCTTGAGGTACAGTGGATTTCCTAACATCACATAGGTAAATGGTTGAAAAACCAGGCCTTAGGACCTAGACCTCCTAATTTCCAGCCAGTGTTCTTTCCATGATACTACACCATGGGTTCATTCTAATCAACGTCTCTTGATTTTACTGTGTTCCTTGACCACTGAATGTGGTTTTAACTCTGAGGAGCCATATTGCAAGTATGTGCTGTTGGTCACAAGGGATCTAGTTGCTGTGGGTCACTGCAAATAAATAATCTCATTTCCTGTATATTGTATGTGAAGAATAGGACACTAGGAATCAATATAAATTTTCTTTGAATCACATTCATGTCAGTTAGGAAGTGCATTTATCCCTGTTTTGTTGTAATCTATTTAATTAGAACTGTTTGGAACTGACTGTAGTAGCTGTTTGTTTAGGCCAGGGGAGTATCTGCCACTTAACCCATTTATGCCTAATGTTCCATTATTGGAACACTAAACTTGTGGGAGTTATTTATATCCTACTGCTCAAGGTCATTGCCAAGGTCTGATTTTTCACAAAAAAATTTGCATCCTCCTGCATAAATGGGTTAAGTTCAATTTTCTGAGAACCCTGACTACCCCTATACCACATGCCAGCCATTGCTGAGCAGATTTTCTTCCAGCCTGTCTTGCTATCAGAATAGTGATTTTGTTGGTTCGTTGTACATATTATCTAAGAATTAGTTTATGTAGATACCATCTTATAGTGATAACATGTAAAAGAAGGCATATAATTATCTGAGTGAAATAAAAGTCTATTCATGGGATGATACGTGGGCACTCTTATACCAGTTTTCTTAATACCTCAGGAAGACTAAAGAAAGATTTATGAACTTTCTTAAATTAGAAAGTATGGCCATGAGCTCTAGTCATTGCTAAATTGAGTTGATGACAGTTTCTTTGTACTATTTTATAATCCTCTAGGGCTAATTTTTACCATTTGCCTTATGAAGCAGCATGGCAGAATGGAAAGAATTTATACTTTAAATTCAGTTACAGCTTAAATCTAGTTATATTTGGGATCTGCCATTTGCTACCTGTGTGGCTCTGGGAGAATTATTCAACCTTTCTGAGTCCTAATTTCTTTAGCTGTCTGTTGTGAAGTTTATAAATTATATATGAAGTCACTAGTATGGTGCTCGGTATTAGAAATAATATATGAAAACTCTAGTATGGTGCCTGGTAGTAAGTAGATGCTTGGTAAATAATGATGTTGGTGGTTATTATACATAATGTGCATATAGGTTTCCTTCTTTGTATATTTTAATTTCATCGTTTTGGTTCTATATTTTAGAAACCATGTAGTTTAAAACTTAGATTTAATTAAGGATTGTCTTTTTGACAGTGAGAAATAATTGTGTTTGGGGATAATTTTGAATCTATAATTATTTTAAAGGTTTGCTTTAAAATTTTGAAATCATTAGGTAAAGAATTTTGTGTTGTAGAGATAAACGTTAGTCAGAAATTGAGACAGTATGGCTGGGCACAATGGCTCACGCCTGTAATCCCAGCACTTTGGGAGGCCAAGGCAAGCGTATCACCTGAGGTCAGGAGTTCGAGCCCAGCCTGGCCAACATGGTGAAACCCTGTCTCTACTAAAAATAGAAAAATTAGCTGGGTGTGGTGGCGGGCACCTGTAATCCCACCTACTTGGGAGGCTGAGGCAGGAGAATGGCTTGCACCTGGGAGGGGGAGGTTGCCAAGATCATACCACTTCACTCCAGCCTGGGCAACAGAGCAAGACTCCATCTCAAAAAAAAAAAAAAAAAAAAAGACAAAAGAACTTGGAGTGCACTTAATTTTTAAACTATAAATATGATCATGGTCTATGAAGACATTTTACTCTTAATTGAATAAACATCCACGATGGGAATTTTTTTTCTTGGACAAACTATTTCAGTATCATTAAGCTGTCTTTTCTCTTACCAAACATTAACTCAAAATTTAAAGCTAAATCTTCGAACACCCATTTTATACTTAGTTATCTCTTTTAGGCTTGATTAGTGTTTCATTGTAACATTTTTCAATGAAGACCAATATAATGATATTTAGTTTTTAACTTTAAAGGAGCTGTTTTACCTGAATTAGTTACCAGGTGTTTAAGTTTGTAGCGTTGCTGTTGTGTCACTTGCATTTGTAAGAAAGATATCACTTGCTAGAACAACTTTGTAAAAAACAGATTAGGTGGTAGCAGCTTCCCTTTGCCACTGAGAGCATAGATGTACTGATAGGAAGTTAGTGGATGTACTAGGATTAGGAAACCATTCTCCTGAAACAATGCCAAATATTTTGTCTGCTCTACTGCCGGATATTACAGGTGAAAGTGTTGTAGTGAGTAAATTACCGTGCATAGATTTTCATGGGGACTGACTCATCTGATGTTTAAAGCTCTGATATTAATTTTCTAACACTTTAAATAAGGTTAATGTTATTAGATGTTATTAGTGATTCATATTTATTGTGTGTGTGTGTGTGTGTGTTTTTTTTTTGTTTTTTTGTTTTTTGTTTTTTTTTTAAAGAGACGGAGCCTCATTGTGTTGCCAGGCTGGAGTGCAGTGGCTCAATTTCGGCTCACTACAACCTCTGCCTCCCGGGTTCAAGCGATTCTCCTGCTTCAGCCTCCCAAGTAGCTGGGATTACAGGTGCACCACCACGCCCCGCTAATTTTTGTATTTTTAGTAGAGATGGGATTTCACCATGTTGGCCAGGATGGTCTCCATCTTTTGACCTTGTGATCCGCCCGCCTCTGCCTCCCAAAATGCTGGGATTACAGGCGTGAGCCACTGCGCCTGGCCTATTGGTGTGTTTTTATTACCTTCTTTCTCTTCCCTCATCCACAAGGCTCTTAGGCACAGAATACTTTCTTTAGCTTAGGTGATAAAAGAAGTTAGTCTTCTGCTTACCTTTTTGGATTTCAACTTCTTTTTATTTTTGTTTCCTTCTTTGATGTTTAAAGATTGATGTTAGGGTTTCTGATTAAAACATACACCTTGATGTCCGGGCGTGGTGGCTCGCGCCTGTAATCCCAGCACTTTGGGAGGCGGAGGTGGGCGGGTCACGAGGTCAGGAGATCGAGACCACAGTGAAACCCCCCCGTCTCTACTAAAAATACAAAAAATTAGCCGGGCGCGGTGGCGGGCGCCTGTAGTCAGTCCCAGCTACTCGGGAGGCTGAGGCAGGAGAATGGTGTGAACCCAGGAGGCGGAACTTGCTGTGAGCCGAGATCGCGCCACTGCACTGCAGCCTGGGTGACAGGGCGAGACTCCGTCTCCAAAAAAAAAAAAATAAAATAAATCTTCTGCTTACCTTTTTGGATTTCAACTTCTTTTTATTTTTGTTTCCTTCTTTGATGTTTATAGATTGATGTCAGGGTTTCTGATTAAAACATACACATTGCTTTTATTTGAAGAAACAAAGGAACTTGGCCAGGCGCAGTGGCTCATACCTGTATAATCCCAGCACTTTGGGAGGCCGAGGTGGGTGGACCGCTTGAGGTTAGGAGTTTGAGACCAGCCTGGCCAGCATGATGAAACCCCGTTTCTACTAAAAATACAAAAATTAGCCAGGTGTGGTGGTGCACGCATGTAGTCCCAGCTACTCAGGAGGCTGAGGCATGAGAATTGCCTGAACCTGGGAGGCCAGTGTTGCACTGCTGCACTCCAACCTGGGTGACAGAGCGAGGCTCCATCTCAGAAAAAAAAAAAGGAACTTGTAAGATAGAAAAATGGACAAAGGGTATGAACAGACAACTCAAAGTGAAAGAAATAGTACTACTACTAGTGGTATAATGAAAATATCATTTACAGTTTTTGCTATGTCCCAGACACTGTCTTTTATAAATGCTTCATATGTATACTGACTCATTTAACCAATGAGTTAGTGCAGAGCTGGGATTCAAACCCAGGAATGGTGGCCCCATCTGATCAAAGATGTGATACCGCATACTGATTTCCTCCTAGCAGAACAAGGACTATGTATTAATACAAGTACATACCGTTCTATTCAATTGGCCGATATTTTAAAAGATATGCAATTTGGGAGGTGGCTATTTGTATTGGGGAGACTATTAATTGAACAGTAACGTGGTAGCACTCATCATGAGTCTTGATATATTCTTTGGTAATTCAGTATCAAGCAATCTCTTTAAAGGAAATAATCAGGAAAATAACAGTGTTCAAGGATGTTAACCAATTATAGTAATTACAGTAGTGGAAATAAAATGGAAGATTGTCCAGTTGGTATGGGATGGCTAAATTATATTTTTTCCAATGAATAGAATATTATGCAAAGATTAAAAGTGTATTTTGAAGAATAATTAGTAATATATAAAAATAAGTGAAAAATATAAATCATGCAATATGGTTCCAACTTTAAAAAGTATATGTACAGAAAAAGAGGAAGGACATATACAGTAGGATGCTAGTGATTATTATAATGTGATTATGGTGTATTACTTCTGAACTTTTTATATTGGCCATGTAGTGCTTTTATATTTAGAGGAAACCAAGTAACATATAGGGAAACCCTAAATGATGCCAGTGCCAGCTTTTTACTAAACATATTCATTAAAAATTTAGATTTGCGTATCTCAGCGTAAAATATAAGTTACTGATTTTTAGATATTTTTAGTTTGTATATTATCTTTGTAACTTTTTTGAAGCAAAACCTTTTTTTTTGTTGTTTGTTTGTTTTTGTTTTTTGAAACAGAGTCTCACTCTGTCACCCTGGCTGGAGTGCTGTGGCATGTCACTCAGGCTGGAGTGCCGTGGCACGATCTCGGCTCACTGCAACCTCCGCCTTCCAAGTTCAAGCAATTCTTGTGCCTCAGCCTCCTGAGTAGCTGAGATTACAGGCACACGCCACCACGCCCGGCTAATTTTGGTATTTTTAGTGGAGACGGGGTTTCAGCATGTTGGTCAGGCTGGTCTCGAACTCCTGACCTCATGATCTGCCCGCCTAGGCCTCCCAAAGTGCTGGGATTACAGGCGTGAACCACCGTGCTCAGCCTGAAGCAAAACCTTTTTAATTTGGATTAAATGAAAGGTGATTTTTCTTTTTCTTAAATGTGGTCATTATAGTGATTGATTGCTTTAGCACTTTTAATATGTTTCAATTATGTTAGTAGAAGATATGGCTGTTTTCTACCTAGTGGTACATGTTATTTTTGCAAACAACTTGCTAACAAAAATAACTGACCTTGTGGGGAAGGAGATGCGTGAGTAAGGATTCAATGCAAGGGCCACCTGGGCTGTTTGGTACAGAATTAAATTATGAATCTGTTTTACTATTAGTTTTCAATATATAGCTGTAGTTTATAACTTTAAGAAATTTAGCTTTCGCTTGTGTTGAAACCTCTTTGAAGTTTAGCTCTTAACTTAAGATTTAAGACATCTTGAAATATAAACGTATGTAATGGATCAAAGATACAGTATTTGTTCTCTGCTGGTTGCAAGTTCTCATGTTTTACAATGTGTGTAAAAAATAAAATACCAAACTACATTAGGGAATTGTTATAGAAGCAAAGCTTTTCTGTTTGCTACATGTTAAAAAACATGAATAAATTGCTGATAACTTTGTATCAGTTTTCTTAATTGCTTCTACCTAAATAGACTTTTGGCATTCATGATGAAACACTCTCGTACTTCATGCTAACTGCTTCCCTAATTAAAAAAGGACTTAAACTGTGGCTTGTGGATGGGAAGAAATTATTTGAAAGAAATTATTTCATATATACAAACTTATTTTTAAAATCTTACTTGATTTCTAAATATAATTTGTGAGTTGAATATTGAATGATAACATAGAAAATAGTTTTCTGCATAGAGACTTTATAGTAAGTGTTTAGACAAATTAAATTATTCAACAGGAAATAATGATTATCAGCTTGTTTTATTTTAGTATTTAATGTAAAGAGCTATGTAGAAATCTTGATAGAAAGTTTCTCCCACCTTAAAATTCGAGAAGATTGACATACATTCTTCACTGGGAGGAATCTTATGATATGAAGTTTCGTGTAAATATTTATTTTAGCACAATTGCTTTTCTGTATGGAAGACTGTTTTTAGTGGTCTGTAAGTAAAATGAGAAAACGATTACAATTTTTTGTCTTTTTCCAGGCTGAACTCACGGGAATCAAATGGCGTAGGTACAATTTTGGAGGGCATGGGGACTGTGGACCCATAATTTCAGCCCCAGCCCAAGATGATCCAATTCTGTTAAGTTTCATCCGCTGTCTGCAAGCTAACCTGCTTTGTGTATGGCGTCGTGATGTCAAACCAGATTGCAAAGAGTTATGGATATTCTGGTGGGGAGATGAACCCAACCTAGTGGGTGTAATACATCATGAACTGCAGGGTAAGGTTTCTGTTTTTTTCTTAAAAATTATTTGCATCATATTTTTTTGAACATTGATAAATTTCAAACAGATTATTAAGACTTGTCTAAAAGAACGATCTTAAGTGTTTCATGGATGTCTCTCTCAAAAGGAACATTCTCACCCCTCTTCCTCCCATCCCTGTTTTTTTTTCCTAACTCTTGTCCTTTTCCAGTTATGCTGAGAATCAGAACCTTGTGAACCGCTGCTGTTAAATGAGAGTATTGTGTCTCCTGGGTGCGGTGGGGTGGAAACCAGGCTAAGATCCACTGTTTTTAAATGATAGTGAATTGTGAGTAACTAACAAGACAGTGAATTGAACAGTTACTGTTTTTTTCCTTGGACTGTGGTTGTTATGGTTCACTGCCAGCTGAACTCTTTGGTGGAAAATTGGAGAGTGATACAGAAATTTAGTTTTGAGCCTAATTGGACAAAATTGTGAGATTACATTGAATAGTATTTTGAGGAAAGATGAATATATGGGATCTGGTCTGAATTGGGTGTAGCAAATTTTCTTTTGCTTTTATTTCTGTTTTTCATGTAATTTGGTGATTCCAGGAAACATTGGCTCCGGTGTTGCCTGATTTTTAGCTTCAGATTGCATCTGATATCTGGAAACTGAATTAATGTAAGAGTTTCATTTTTCTGTGCTGCTTTATATATTTACCACAGTTTTATGAGCAGGAACTTTTATCAGTTGTCTTTGAATTTCTGGTAAAAATTTTTACCTTTTTATCTAAGTGTTTCTATTTAGTATGCAAAGGGATTTTCTCAAGCAAGACTAATTCTAATCTTTAGTTAGGGTATTAACTCTTTTTGACTTAGTCTCTTAGAACCATCTTTTATTATCTCCAAACTATATTGTGTTAATCTGTGTCTGAAAAATTTCAGATCGTGTTTGAAATGTTTTGTTACTTGATGTTTTTAATGTTTTTTTTTTTTAAAGGAAGGAGTAAAACTAACTGTAATGTATGTTCGAGGCTCTGTTCTAAAGCTTTTACATTTGCCTGAAGGATTTCCTGCCAACTTTTGCTTGACACCTTGCTAGTTTTTCTTGGCAGCCATTTTTTATCTGTGATATCTCCTGCCACAGCAGCCAGAGGGCGGTAAACCACAATGGACTAATTGAACTGTTTACTTTATGGTCCATTTGTCTGTTCAGCTCAAACCTTTATCCTGATATTTTTTAGGGTATTTGGTCTATAAATAAGAGAACCATTGTGGGTGACATTGCTTGCTTAGCTGGGTAATCAGCAAAGTCCCAGAACTTAACATTCATCTCAAAGCCTGTTCTATGTAGTTAGCAGTTAACTTAGGTAAAATTAGAGTTTCAGAACATCTGGATTCTGTTTATCAGAATTTTAAAAATAAGATGTCACCTAGAAGATAATTACAACATTTTTGTTTGTCCATTAAAATATGAAAACATATTTTTACTTTTTTTCCCTATGTAGTAGAGAGGTATAAAGCTTTTTAAAAAGTGTCTTTCTTATCTTTCATGATTGTTTCTGACTGTCATCTTCTGTTTCTCTGTATTAATCTCTTACGTTTTAGCTTTTTGGTCTGCTCTTTGTTAGTGTGGTACATATAATTTTGTAATGATGAGGAAACCAAACCCAACTGCTAATGAGGGTTATTTAGTTGATAATATAGAATAAATTTATTTATCTATGCCAACGGAGAAAATCGTCAGTGTTCTTAGAAATAGCTTATTAAATTATTGTGTTATTTTTCATGGGCTTTGTTACTGAGTTAACAAAAAGGAGTAGGGCATTTAAATTTTGGGATAGTTGCTTTAGATTGCATGTGTAAATTAATATCTTAAGTATTTTTTGGTAAAGAGTTAAGCAAAGATTGAATTATTTTTAGATATTTTTAAAATTACAGAAACACTACATTTAAGTTAGAAAATTAGGAAAACAGTCATCATATGGAGAGAACAAAGAAATAAAAATACTGAAGTCTGAAAGAGTTTTAGATGTTTTATGTGTAAATGAAATTGGTACCATACAGTTTTTCTAATTTTCTAATTAAATGTAGTATTGTGAATATTTTCTCTTGGGAATGATTACTTTTCTTTGGAGTTTGATAGTGGTATAAACTGTTTATATTTTGTATTCTATCAGGAAAGTATTACAGTAATGGAATAATTATAATTTCATTGAGTGCGTCTCCTCTTTTTAATATGAATTTTGAGCAAGTTTTTAGATTCATTTATATGAAGTGTCCATTTTTGTAGGTAAAAGTAGTTGAAAAAGGTAATGTATGGTTCAACCTAATAACAGAAAATATCTAGCCTTAATTAGAAAAATAAGTCATAAAGACAACTTTGTTTCAAATAAGGGGAAATACGATAGCAGTCATGAAAAACTGAAGGATACAAAGAGAATATTTTAATTGGTAGCCATACAAAGTGGAGATATTTTAGAATCTATTTCATTCTCTAATATATTTGAGTCATTTTATTTTGGGTAAAATAAATTATAGGCGGAGCATGGTGGCTCACGCTGGTTATCCCAACACTTTGGGAGGCTGAGGGGGCCCAAATGCTTGAGGCCAGGAATTTGAGACCAGCCTGACCAATATGGTGAAACCCTGTGTTTACAAAAAATAAAAAAAAAAAATTAGCCAGGTGTGGTGACGTGCACCTGTAATTCCAACTACTCGGGTGACTGGGGCTGGAGGATCACTTAAACCCAGGAGGCCAAGGTTGCAGTGAGCAGAGATAATGCCACTGCACTCCATCCTGGGCAACAAAGTGACACCTGTCTCAAAAAATAAAATAAATAAATAGTAGCAGAATCCTTTTAGCAGGCTTTAATGTTAAGCATGAGATTACCATTATTTGTAACATTTTTTAAATAGGGACATTTTACTGTTTCTTACATTGCTGCTTATTTATGTTATTTGGCATTTCCTGGCTGGTCACGGTGGCTCACGCCTGTAATCCCTGCACTTTGGGAGGCCTAGGCAGGAGGATCACCTGAGTTCAGGAGTTGGAGACCAGCCTGGCCAACATAGTGAAACCCCCTCTCTAGTAAAAATAAACAAAAATTAGCTGGGCATGGTGGTGGGTGCCTGTAATCCCAGCTACTGGAGAGGCTGAGACAGGACAGTCGCTGGAAACCGGGAGGCAGAGGTTACAGTGGGCTGAGATCACGCCACAGCACTCTGCTGGGCAACACAGCAAGACTCCATCTCAATAAATAAATAAATAAATAAATAAATAAATAGCAGAATCCTGTTAGCTGGCTTAAATTAAGCATGACATTACCATTATTTAACATTTTTTTTAATAGAGGCATTTTATTGTTTCTTAAATTGCTTTTTAGTTATTTGGCATTTCCCTTTGTCTTCATAGCGTACTCCAAATAGCGTCCTACCAAGAAACCTCACGGTGAGATGTAATACCAAAGCAACCATCTTGCATTTAAATGTATAAAGTATCCCATAAAATGAGAATAATCCTACAGGGTACACACACAAGTTAGTTTTATGATATTATACTTTTTGTTTAATTGCTTGACATATCTCTGAAATAGTCTGAGAGAAGGCTATAACACATTTATAATCTGTCCTTGTCACTTGGATAAACACTTGGGTTCCTGTCTGGGGAATTGTTAATGCGTGTGGTGTAGTGATTCAGAGCACGGGCTCTGGGTTGCTTGGGTTTGAATGCTTGCATAGTCACTAGCTGTGTATTCTTGATCTAATTATTTAACTTAAACTGTGCCTCAGTTTTCTCACTGTGAATTAGGTTATGAGGTTAAGAAAAATTAAAAGTACTTAGAGCAGCATATATAGCAGTTAATCTATAATTGTAACTATTGCTACTGCTACTGTGCAAAGACCTACAGGCTGCGAATGAATTGTGGCAAGAACAGGTTACCTGGGGCTTAGGGTAGGAGTGAAATAGTCTCCCCTCTAAAAGGCTGAGTAGGTGGGTCATAGTATGGAGTACACAGAACCAAGGATAAGACATTTAGACTTAATTTGATAGATTTTGAGGAATTAAACATTTCTGATCAGGAAAGCGATATAATTAGGAAGATTAACTTAGTAATAATACAGGATTAATGTGTACAGGGAAACCATAATATTGTGATTTTAAAATTCTAAATTGGAATATAAACTTAAATATTCTGTTCAGGATACAGATGTATTTAAATTAAAAATACTAATGATTATATACTATAATTCATATTAATAGTCTTTAACACTTTTATTATACCTTTGCTGTTTTGGCTTGACTAAATTCTACATTTTAATTTAAGTTTTAGAGATTAATACAGTGTGCTGAGTGGACTTCTCCTAATCTACCAAACAAATACTTCTTACTTTTTTTTTTTTTTTTTTTTCCTTTAGACAGAGTCTTGCTCTGTTGCCCAGGCTGGAGTGCAGTGATGCAATCTTGGCTCACTGCAACCTCTGCCTCCCGGGTTCAAATGATTCTCCTGCCTCAGCCTTCTGAGTAGCTGGGATTGCAGGTGTATGCCACCACACCTGGCCAATTTTTGTATTTTTAGTAGAGATGGGGTTTCACCATGTTGGCCAGGTTGATCTCAAACTCCCAACCTCAATCGATCCGCCCGCCTCGGCCTCCCAAAGTGCTGGGATTACAGGCGTGAGCCACTGGGCCTGGCAACAAATGCTTTTTAAATAAACACAATATTCTCGCCAATTCACTGCCTGTTAGTTAGTGGTGGGAAAGACATGCAATCTGGAAAACCCAAAATAGTACAGAGAGCAAGCACAGAACTGCCAATTGCTTGCCCCAAAGCATTACAAATCTCTGGTCCAGAAGGAGAAGTATCAGATTCAGCCTAGTATGTGCTTAAGAATGTTTGTCGAATCAGTTAATGAAACGTATTTTATGAGGTTCTAATGTAGCGCAGTATTGCACTCCCGGCAGATTGACTTATAATAAATTTGTGAAAATTTTTAATGATTTGATAATGCGAGGATATTGAAGCCTAGTTAAAATAAAGCATATTATTTCTGGTTTTAATTCCCAAGGGGATAGAAATAGCCAATTTTTGGGGTATATTTTCTACCACAAATATTTAGCACTAAATATGCACTGTCTACAATTTTAAAATTTATGTTGTCTCTTTTTTTGATTATTAGACATATAAATTAAGGATACATCTGTACAACTCTAAAAATGATTGTCCCTATAACAGTATCAGAAGTCTTCTGAATTGGTTTTATTGTCAGTGCAGGGGTAGATTGGCAGTTATTACCCTTTGTTGTGAATTTAGAGACATAAATATTGCTTTTTCTATTTTTAAGAGTGCTGCCACCTGTGCCAGGAGGTGTGGGCGATTGTAAAAACATTAGACATAAGAGAGCCTGGAAAAATGGATCTGTTTTCTGACAGTGACCACGGTGTAAGATAATTTAAGATACTAGTACTATTGTTTATTGAACTCATTGCAAGTGGGCATTTTGTAGGAGTGTGGGAAGGCTGGATTTTTTTAGTTTTGTAATCTGTATCTATAGATTACAGTCTACAATTCCAAATGGTGGGATTGATAAAACCTTTGTTTAGATAACTCCAAGCAAGAACCTAGCTTCTCCACTCCTCCTAGCTTTTTATTTTTAAATATATTTACACACTTATATGCATATGCCTCTTTTTCCACCTAAACTATTTGAGGCAATTTTCAGACTTCACGGACCTTTGCCCCTAAATACTTCAGCATTTAAGTCCTGTGAATGAGAATGTGAAGCACTCTTTTACGTAACCAGAGCACTTTTGGCATGCTCAAGAAATTTAATATCGATATAATTAAATTATCTAATATTTAGTCCATATTCAAATTTCCCAATTGTCTTAGCAATACCTTTTATAGTTTTCTCTCTCTCTGATCCAGAATGCAATCAGGATCACACATTTTTAGATGGCTTGTGTCCTCTCATTTAGAATATTCCTGAAGTTGTCTTGGGGATCAATGATATTGATGTTATTTGAAGGGAGCAGTTTAGTTGTCCTGTAAAATATCCCACATTTTGAATTTGTCTAATTGTTTTCTTACAGTTAGAGTCAGGATAAACATATTTGGCAAGAATACTGAGTAGGTGATGTTGTGTCCTTTCCACGGCATCACATCAGAAACAGGTCATGTCAGTTTGTCTCAATATTGATGGTACTGAGCTTGATCCCTTGATTAAGGTAGTGTCTGCCAGATTTCTCCAGTGTAAAGATATCCTTTCCTTTTGTAATTGTTAAGTAAATTTGGGATGAAACTTTGAGATTGTGTGAATATCTCTTTCCTCAAAAGAGCCTAATTTTGAGCCTGTTTAAACCAACCGAAAAATTCCGGAATCACCTGCTTTTAGAAAATCAGTTGAGATCACATGAAGACTGCATTTTTAAGTCACAGCAGAGTTCAAGAGGAGAAGAGAATAAAATATTGAAGATCTACCAAAGGCAAATTATAATGGCAATGTCACACTATGAAAATGAATAGCCCCTATTGCTTAGCATACCTAAAAAGAGAAGTGTTGACATTGAATTTTCCAAAATCATAGACAATAATGTATGTAGGAATATATTACTGTGTATCTTAGAGTCTGTGAACTTTCAATTGATTTTTGATGGTTTCTGGTTATCCTTAACTAAATGGTAAAAATAATTTCATCGGTATTATACATGAATTTATTATCAGTTGAAATTAAAAAATTGCTTTCTGGAAAAGTAATGACTATTTTATATATAAATTGACAGGAATAAGATTATCTCTTGTCATTTTGAAAATTTCTTTCAAGGAGAAAATCTGATCTTTGACTCATTTTCACTCTGTTTTTCTATCTTTTTTTTTAGTGGTATTAAATTTGTGAGTCATTGAAATTAATCCCTGACTGAATTGGAAAGGAATTGTATTTGCAGTATTTGGATTTATTTATTTTTCAGGTATGGAATTCTGGTGATTTTGAAAACATGAATGATACCATTTTGCAGCAGCATTGTAGATTTGTAGTATTTTAGATTGGTATCACAGTGCACCTGAAAAGTAAGTTTCATTTTACTTTTTTTTATTGTTGTTGAGACGGAGTCTCACTTTGTCACCCAGGCTGGAGTGCAGTGGTGTGATCTTGGCTCATGGCAGCCTCTGCCTCGCTGGTTCAAGCGATTCTCCTGCCTCAGCCTCCCGAGTAGCTAGGACTATAGATGCTCGCCACCATGCCCAGCTAATTTTTTGTATTTTTTTTGAGTAGGGCTGCATGTTGGCCAGGCTGGTCTTGAACTCCTGACCTCAAGTGATGCTCCTGCCTTGGCCTCCCAAAGTGCTGGGATTACAGGTGTGAGCCACCACGCCCAGCTACTTTACCTTTCATATTTGTCATTATTTTGTGGATAATAATGAAGAATACATTTGTATTTCATGAGAAACAAGTACTTTCAGGAAAAACACATATCCAGTGATAAATGGCAGCTAGGTCTAAGTAGTTTATAAAGTATACTTTTATTTTTCTTGGATCTGAATTATTCAAGTTTTGATGTAAATTTCCTGATTCTTTAAATAATTACATTACTGTTCTGTTTTTCTGTTTTATTTGAAAGAATGAGTTTGCCAAAGCTATAAAGTAGTAAGTTTTTCATTGGGTGATTATCTGAATGGGTCTAGTGCATACTTACTAAATATTAGACTTAATGTGTAATTATATACTTGAAAGGAAAAATAACATACTTATTAAGACTGATAAATAATACATTCATATTGTAAAATTATGGTAAGATCATAATCTCAGTTCTTTCAGATGAAGAATTGAAAAAGATCTAGTGAATTAGATAAAATTATTAAGGTAAATATGCTTGAAATTGAGAGAACAAGCTAAAGTCTATCTTTTGAGTGTAAGTAAAATCGATGTGTTACCACAGGCAACTTACTGAACCATGTAATTAGTTTTTTTCTATGAAAAATGAGACATACTGAGATTGTGTTAAAGTAGCATGTAAAGGGCTTATGTTCTAATGATATGAAAATTAAAGAATTGGTAAAAAAAAGTTATAATTTTCAGTTTGTTGGTAAGTATAGTTATTATGGCCTAATGTTTTGCGTTGATATGAAATCACCTACTTATATAAAGTAAACCTGAGTAAAATCCTCTTAAATGAGATGTTAGAGTCACCATTGGAACAAATAGTGTTGAAAATTGTCTTAACACTAGATTAACTGTTATTTGGTATATTGTTTTTTAAAATGTGAGTAATTTTTATGATTAATACATTGTGACTGGTAGATAAGTGTTTAGTCTAACATTTTTAAGTGTAGCCATGTTTGATGCCCCCCTCACCATTTGTGTATATTTTATTTCAAAAGCTTGTACTTTCATAGAAAACTTTAAGATTTAGAAGAGGCTGTTGTGGCCTGGTGTGATGGCTCATGCCTGTAATCCCAGCACTATGGGAGGCTGAGGAGGGAGGATCGCTTGAGCCCAGAACTTTGAGACCAGCCTGGGAAACATAGTGCGATACCATCTCTGTTAAAAAAAAATTTAAAAAAGAGGTTGTTGATCATTAAGATGGCATAGTGATATAGGTAAAGGGTTTTTTTGTTTGCTTAGCAAAATATTTTCTTAGTTTTATTTCTTAGGGAGGCTGAGGTAAGAATCTGAATGTGGAAAATTGAAGAAAAGGTTTAAATATTGGTAGAATTTAGGGCCTAAATAATTCGAGAAAGAATTATATATTAGAACATTAACATTGAATGGAGTAGAGCTACACATTTATAGGGAATAACACCTTCTGCTTATAAGCAAATTCATTGCTGACGTGTATAAATGGCATTAGGTTGGTTGTACTGTTCACATTATTTTATATAGGAGATGAAATAAAAATTCCCTAAAATAAAACTAGGGTTTTCTTAGGAAAGAGGAAGTGGGGAATGGATCTTAGTGGGTCATGAACGAGTGTCCTCTTCTGCAGTGGGACCCTGTCTCTGCAGAAAAGAAAAGCAGTAGTTGGGCATGGTTGGTGTTCGCCTTGTAGTTTCAACTACTTGGGAGGCTAAGGTGGGAGGATTACTTGAGCCCAAGAGTTCAGGGTTGCAGTGAGCTATGATTGTGCCACTGCAGTCCAGCCTGAGTGACACAGTAAGACCCTATCTCTAGAAAAGAAAAAAATAAAACCTGTTGTTTAGTGTAGCCACCTCATTAATGATCTTAGCAAGATCTTCTGAATAGAGAAGCTGCAGCTTCTTCATCAGCACTTGCTGCTTCTCCTTGTGTCTTTATGTAAGGGAGATGGAATCTTTCCCTAATCTTCATGAACCAACCTCTGCTAGCTCCCAGGTTTGCTTCCTCACCTCTCTCCGTCTTGGTAGAATTGAAGAGAGTTTGTGCCTTGTTCTGGATTCGGCTTTGACTTAAGGGAGTATGGTGGCTGGTGTGATCTTTCAGACCACCCAGACTTTCTCCATATCAACAATAAGCCTGTTTCACTTTCTTATCATTCATGTGTTTGCTGGAGTAGCACTTGTAATTTCCTTCAAGATTTTTTTAAATTTTTTATTTATTTATTTTTTTTGCATTCACAGCTTGGCTTCTTGGCTCAAAAGCACTAGTTTTCAGCCTATCTTGGCTTTCGACATGACTTCTTCACTAAGCTTAATCATTTCTCACTTTTGATATAAAGTAAGAGATGGGCAGTTCTTCCTTTTCACTTGAACATTTAATGGCCATTGTAGGGTTATTAATTGGCCTAACTTTAATATTGTTTCTAGCAACTAGGCTTGAGGAGAATAAGAGAGATGGGGAGGAGCCAGTCCTGGAGCAGTCAGAACACATACAATAGTGATCAATTGGTTCAGTCTGCTGTTTTATATGGGTGTGGTTTGTGGTGCCCCTGAACAATATAATAGTAACATCAAAGATCACTGATCACAGATCCACCATAACAGATATTATAATAATGAAAATGTTTGAAATATTGCAAGAATTACCAAAATGTGACACAGACACAAGAATTGAGCACATGCTTTTTGAAAAATGGCGCTGATAGGCTTGCTCGACACAGGGTTGCTACACACCTTAAATTTGTAAAAAATGCAGCATCTGTGAAGCGAAACAATGTGAAATGCAATAAAATGAGATATTCCTATATCTTATTGAGGTAGTTGATAAGCTGGAATTACATATCTGCTATCGTTAGAGATCTTCTTTACCCCTTATTTTTTCTTCGTAGAGATCTGTTGTCATAGCCCAGATATTGAAAAATCAGAGATAAATAGCGAAAGAATGGGAAAACTATTGGTGAAGCAGAAGGCTACCTTTGAGTTGTTTTATGGTCTCTGGATCTGCTTAAAGTATAATAGACTAAACTGATGTATAGATCTCTCTGCTTAACTTTCTGTGAATTAGTGTTTGAAAATGTAATTACAGATGGTTTCCACTTGGTATTGTTTTATGATGGCTGAGCAAATGGAAATTAAAACTTGATATACTCAGCTATAAGTATCATTGGGCCTAAGGTTAAAAAAAAAAAACCTTAATGGTAGAAATAACACGTAAATATTTTTTTCCTCTTAAAAAACCCAGATAGTGTAGGCATCTGTGGTGTTTTTTTTTTTTTTTTTGAGATGGAGTCTCACTCTGTTGCCCAGGCTGGAGTATGGTGGTGCAGTCTCTGCTCACTGCAACCTCCACGTCCGGAGTTCGAGCAGTTCCCCTGCCTCAGCCTCCCAAGTAGCTGGGATTAAAGGTGTGTGCCACCACACCTGGCTAGTTTTTGTATTTTTAGTAGAGATGGGGTTTCACCATGTTGGCCAGGCTGGTCTCAAACTTCTGACCTCAAGTGATCTGCCCTCCTGGGCCTCCCAAAGCGCTGGGATTATAGGCGTGAGCCGCCACTCCTGGCCGAAATCTGTTTTAAGTATAGAACATCATGAAATTGGATTCTGTTGCTTTAAGCATTTCATGACTGAGCTGCTGTCTGGATGCTACCTGAAGAGATTCTCATTGAATATCATTATGGCCAGTAAGTGTTCCATAATTTTCTTTAAGCTCCATCTATGTAAATATTTTTGAACAATTTTGCACAAGTACAGGGCCACATACCTATTTGTTATAAACCCGACGTTGATAAAATGCACTCTTAGTATAATTGGGTCTTGTTTTGATCCTGGCAGTTTCATATTGGGATTTGGCAGTGAGTTCAACAGAATAAGCATTATCCTCTTGAGGCCCATCTAGGATTGAACTAAAGGGCTTCTACAATATCCACATGATCATACAATTAGTTCTCTCTCTCCCTCTCTTTTTTTTGTGCTGTGATAGTGTAACTGAATATGAGCTGGTTGCCAGGGTATTGTGGTAGAATAATACCCTGCAGTAAACAGTTAATCATGCAGCAGAACTGGCTTGATTTAAAAAAAAAAAAAAAAAAGATAAAAATTAGATAAAGATGAAGTGGCTTTGTGTTGAAAAAGATTGTATGTATATGATGGTAAAAGGAAGGTTAGAGTGTTCATAAATCTGTTGTTAGTCTTTTCCTCATATTTATATAATGTCATATGCAAAATATTTTCTTTTTTAAAAATTACTTTTATTTTTGACTTTGCTAGCACGTGGGGGAAGTAAGACTTTTTGCTAATCTTGAAGGCTTACTTTCTGACACAAGAGAAAAAAAGTAAATATTTGTGGAAAGACTGCTTGAATAAGGGAAGTGTGAACCTATTCAACATGAGGTCTCTTCATTAAGATTGTTTTATTTTTCACAGGTAATCTTGAACTTGTTTAAATGTAAGCTGCTTTGGTGTTTGCTACTTTTAATAAGGCATGTTATTCACTTTGAAATATATTTAGTCTAAAGGAGAAAAATTTCGATACTCTCAGTTAAATTTCAGGCACTATATTTTTTAGCTTATCTTAAAAGTAGCCTAGTAGATATTTATAACGAAAAGGTTGCTTGCCTTGGCATCCTTGGACAAATTACATACAACTCTGATTGTTTAGGGAGGTAATAGCGTTTGTTGACAATAACTCCTATTTTGGAAACATTTGTCATGCCGTTTATTGGTTTCATGAAGAGTATAACAAAGGGGCTCTTGATTTGGGTAGCAGAGGTGGCTGGGAGCAGTTATCCTCATCACTATGGTAAAGGCTTTATTAACTAGAACTCAGTTGGAGCCCTGAAACAGATTTAAAAGTACCCCCTCATCCCCAGTAAGCACATACCATTTTGTGAAAAAAAGGTTAAATGACTTAAATACAGCAATATCAGTGATTAGTCCCAATATACACAGATATATCTATTTGATTCCCAGTATGGTTGAGACAATGTGCTAACTTAGCACATAGCAAAAACACTTTAATGGGATGTCCTGGGGTCAGTACTGATTCAGCTCAGTTGCCCACACATTTAGAATTATAGTATTATGTCATAACAATCAAATGGTGTACGAGAGGATGCTTTAAAAGCACCCTTCAAGCTTTATACATGTAAGGTGTGTTGGGCTTGGTGGCTCACGCCTGTAATCCCAGCACTTTCGGAGGCTGAGGTGGGAGGATCGCTTGAGGCCAGAGTATCAGTTGAGCCCAGGTATTGGAGACCAGCCTGGGCAACATGGTGAAGCCTTATCTCTACAAAAAAATTAAAAAATTAGCTGGGCATAGTGGCGTGTGCCTGCAGTCCCAGCTACTTGGGAGGCTCATGTGGGAGGATCAGCTAGGCTTCGGAGGTCAAGGCTACAGTGAGCCAAGATTGTGCCACTGCACTCCAGCCTGGGTGACAGATTGAGACCCTGTCTCAAAAACAAAACAAAACAATAACAACAACAAACAACAAACCCCAAACGGTAAGGTGTTACCATTGTTACATGATTTCTTATATTTAGAATTACCACCATTTATTTGAGCCTCTATTATTTTAGGTGCTATGTAGAATACAGAAATGAATTGGAAACATTTTTGCATTTCAGGAGCTCAGAACCTAGTAGAAGAGAGAGTATATACACACAGAGCATTGTTAAAGGGTAGAAAGTAAAGTCTCCTATGTGGGGCCCATGGTATTACTGGAGTTTTATGTGAGAGGCTGAGCCTTGAGGACGAGTTGATTTTTGGGCATAATAACCTTAAAGGGTAGATAGAATTTGGATACATGGCTATGTCAGGACAAGCATGTGCGTGTAACTGCACATTCAAGGATCTACAGTAGGGAAGTTTGAGATGTGTATTGGGGAAGAGTTAAAGATGAGAAATTGATTGAAAATGAACATTTGGGCCTCTTGGAGCTTAAACACTAGGCTAAGTAGTTTGGGCTTCATAGGTAGTTGGGATCTTAGAGGGTTTTTGAATAGGACTTAGATAGAAGCTCCCAGCAGATTATAAACTGTATGGGGATAGGACCTGCATCTGACTTTTGCCCATCATTGTAATTCCAGGACCATCGTAATGCCTGGTACATGTGCTCGCTTTGGCAGCACATACACTAAAATTGGAACGTAATTCCTGGTACATATTTGTTGAATAAACCAGTGAGCAGATTTAATGAATGTAATAGAAGTTTGTGTAAAGATTATCAGTCTAGCACCATTGCATGCTAGGAAGACTTCCTGGTGTCCTGGAACACATAGGAAAACATGATGACATGATGTTGTTATAGGATATTGTTTTAAGGAGAGATGTGGCCACATTTGAAAGATTTTCTTGATGCATTGAATTCTTTTTTAACTGCATTTTGAAAAAACAGTGATATAATTTTCTTCTCTTTTTGCAGTATCTTATTTTTTATTTTATTTTTGAGATGGAGTTTTGCTTTTGTCGCCCAGGCTGGAGTGCAATGGTGTGATCTCTGCTCACCGCAACCTCCACCTCCCGGGTTCAGGTGATTCTCCTGCCTCAGCCTCCTGAGCTGCTGGGACTACAGGCACGTACCACCATGCTCGGCTAATTTTATATTTTTAGTAAAGACGGGGTTTCGCCATGTTCGGCTGATTCTGAACTCCTGACCTCAAGGTGATCTGCCTAACCCGGCCTCCCAAAGTGCTGGGATTACAAGCGTGATCCATCGCACTGGGCCTGCAGTATCTTATTTTATAGTCTGTAGTTGAATTTTTTAAATGGAAATTTAAAAAGTTTTTTAAAAATTGAATAATTCTTCATATTTTTTTTTAGTATTGTAGATAGCAAGTAGTTTGAGCATTTGACCAAAATCATATTTTGTAATTGTCCCATAGAACAGATGGCTGTGGAAGAGCACTATTTATTAGGTTAAAGTGCTTAATAATATTTATGTGTCAGAATCCTTATAAATACATTAACTTATAAATACATCATGGATTGAATGACATTGACTGTCTTATGTAAGTTATAAATTTCCAGTCCAACACTGGAGTTGGTATTTGCTGCATGGCAATGATAAGTAATATGGCTTAGCTGAGGCTCTCTCTGAGAAAGTCCTGAACGTTTTACTATAGAATCAAATTGACAATAGCTTTCATTGAGCTTTCTATCTTTCACTCTGGAATCCTGAGTTAATTACTGGCTTCTGTAAGTGTCGTGGCAACAGACTACATGATAAAATGAGATTGTACGATTTAGGCAAACATTTTCAATGAAATCTTTAATAGTTTTTAGTGTTAGTGTACATATTTTGTCCAGTTGTTTATCAAAATAGCCTTTGGGTTGCATCTCCTTTCTAAATATTTAAGATAGCAAGTTAGTAGATTGCAAGTTGTATGATTTTAAAGTGGCATTTTTCAAAGATTATTAAGGTACATACATGTTAAACAAGGTACATCTTCTCCAACGATGCTTGCAAACACACTCACACACATACCTGGAGTTGCTTGAATTCCCTATATTAGTTGAAGTTTTGGTTTGGCAACACCTGAAATGCCGCCATGTTTCCCAGAAGATGCTCAAAGAGTACTTGTATCATTAGTGAGTCAGACTTTCCTGGCCAGGAGCCATCTCTCATTCTCTTTTTCTGTTTGTGAACATAGCTCAGCTGGCATTACAGCATAGGTCATGGATTTTGGATTACTCCCTTCTATTCACCCTCACATATCCAAAATGGAACAGAGGCCGGGAAGAAATAAATCTATCATTCTTCTGTTATCCTTCGCCTATGGAGAGGTAGAGGTCATAAGATTAAGTGTAGAAAGTAAAAATAAGGAATGGAGTGTTCATACAATGCCACTTCTGTGACGTGTCATTGCAGGCAAGACATTTAAATTTGCTTGTCTTCATTCTTGTCTGTACTATGGAAATTATGTCTTTATTTTATGGTACAACATGAAGTGAATGTGAAAAGCAGCTAGATTTAACTGTTGTGTAAATGCATTTTATAGCCATATATTTTTAAATGAACTCTACTGTCAGAATATTAAAATCTTCATGATTTTAGATGCTAAATAAGGATATAATTTTGCTTTTCATAATTTTGGCCATACTTTCTACCTGTATAAAATTTGAGTTGTTTTCCACCTAGCATTGTCAATATAGTCTTAGTTAAATTATATATGGGCATTGGATGTTTTAAAATGTGGTCTTTTATAACCACTTTCTGTCTTTGGCTGTGCAAGAATGATTATAATTATTTATGCCCTTGCTCCTTATGGGGATTTGAATAAAAAATAATTTTTCATATTATTTTAAATAGGGATTGTGATCTAATCCCTTAAAAATTAGTTTGATGTCTCTTAATTATCGGTTGATCAGAGTGTTTTTAAACTTTTTATTAGTATCACATAGAATAAGCAAGAGTATTTGATTAACAAAGATTATTGTTCCAGATTCATGCTGCATGATATATAATAAACCTGTTTCCTTTTCCACATTTGATTTTTTGTTTATAGAATAATTTTTATTTGTGCTCGTTGTGCCTAATTTTATAGTACCAATAAACTAGGAATGAATGAAGGTTTGAAAGAATTATATATTGAAAATTGGGAACCAGAAAATAATCAGATATTTATGGTTAGTTCATAGGTACTAGGCATTGTGGTAGGTGCTTGGTAATCAATCTTGCAGTGTAAAGTAGTTTTGGGTTTATTCTTTCTTTCAGAATATTAACTTGAATGAATTTCAGGGAAAATTTTGATACTACTCATTTTTTTTTTTTTTTTTTAAGACAGGGTCTTACCCTGTCACCCAAGCTGTAGTGCAGTAGCGTGATCACAGCTCACTGCAATCTAGACTTCCTGGCTTAGGTGATCTTCCCACCTCAGCCTTGTGGGTAGCTGAGACTATAGGCATGTACCACCACACATTGCCAATTTTTGTGTTTTTTATAGAGATGGGGTTTCACTGTGTTGTCCAGATTGGTCTTGAACTCCTGGGCTCAAGCCATCCACCTGCCTCAGCCTCCCAAAGCGTTGAGATTACACACATGAGCCACCACTCCCAGCTGCTAATTTGTTTTTATACTTTCTTTTGTGTTTATTAAACTCATTTTTATTTAATATGTAGGATAGAGTTAGTAGTTATCAAATAAGTGGCAGCTTTTACCGCATCGAGATTGTTAACTTAACCTAGTTGAACACTAGAGGGACTTCAAACTAATCACTGAAGTTTGAGTTCAGTAGTATATTCAGTAGTATATACTTTGTTTAAAAGTGCAGAACCACACAGTTTTTTCCCCCAACTCTGTGGTTTTCATAAGACTAAGTATTATGCCTAAAATTTTACCTGGTAACTTATTTGGTTAATTAATTCTCAGGTTAATAGACCATATATAAAATGTAACCTCTGCCAATATATGTATATCAAAGCAAAAAACTTTTGTTTATGGCCCCTTTATTTTGAGACAGAGTCTCGCTCTGTTGCCTAGGCTGGAGTGCAATGGCACAATCTCGGCTCACTGCAACCTCCGCCTCCCGGGATCAAGTGGTTCTCCTGCCTCAGCCTCCCAAGTAGCTGGGATTACAAATGAGCACCACCATGCCTGGCAAATTTTTGTATTTTTAGTAGAGATGGGGTTTCGCCATAATGGCCAGGCTGGTCTTGAACTTCTGACCTCAAGTGATCTGCCCGCCTCGGCCTCCCAAAGTGTTGGGATTATAGGCATGAGTCACCACGTCCGGCCCTATGTTCTCTTTTAAAATCCAGCGCGTGTATTTTGATGGTCTAAGAGAAGTGGGAATCTGGAAGTTGGCTATGTAAATAATAGTTTTCTCTTGGAAATCTCGAGTAGGAGGCAATAGAGTTTAGAAGAAGTAAATATTAATTTAAATAGTAATTCAGATTATTATTTTATGGAGATTTTAATTGATCCCATGATTATTTGGTATGTTTTGTGAAAAGATTAGTTTATAATGGCATTAACAGCTTAAGCTAGTCTGTTACAGCTTTAGTTCACTTAGGCAGTGTTACAGATAGTTTTGCTATATCATTTTAAAAACTGGTAGGCTGGGTGCGGTGGCTCACACCTGTAATCCCAGCACTTTGGGAGGCTGAGGCGGGGTGGATCACGAGGTCAGGAGTTCAAGACCAGCCTGGCCAAGATGGTGAAACCCTGTCTCTACCAAAAATACAAAAATTAGCTGGGCATGGTGGTGCGCACCTGTAATCTCAGCTACTCGGGAGGCTGAGGCAGAGAATTGCTTGAACCCGGGAGGCAGAGGTTGCAGTGAGCCGAGATGATGCCACTGCACTCCAGCCTGGGAGACAGAGCGAGACTCTGTCTCAAGAAACAAAACAAAATAAAACAAAAAAACTGGCAGTTGAACTTACTTTGGTAAGAACTTCTTTAAAAATGGCTTTTGGCATTAAAAGCTTGAATACTTTCTAAATAGGACTTTGGTTCAATTTTGACATTTTACTCTCAAAATAATTTGGTTGGGAAATACTGTATATTTTAAATTTCAAACAATTAATATGTGTACAATAAATGAATGCTTCGAAAGTTAGGTTTGATGGTGATCCAGGGATTTTAATGTCCACATTGTGGACATAAACAATGAATTAATCTTTATATTCACATCTCTTTGTAAAGAAATCTTAAAAATTACTTAAGATTAATAAAATTAATGAATTGAGTATAGATGTCTACATTTTCTTCAGAAATAAATTTATTTATTTTTGTATTTATAATGCTGATCTAGCTTTAGTTAAAATACTGGAACACTGGTGAAAATAGGCATCTGCCTATCTTTACCTTTAACGTATGCTAATTAGATTTTTTAAGATGTAGAAATATATACTAATAACATGAATATAATTTAAATTCTTTATGTTTACGAGTATTCCTCTTTATTTCACTTTCCTTGATTAGATGTTCATAAAATTCACTATATAAGTTAAGAATAAGTCCAGTTATGTACAGAAAGATAAAATTTAAAAAGCTTGTCTCTTTATTATTGACATTCTGTCAGCTTCCAAAATTTTTTGAACTGACTAGAATGGTGTATGTAATTGGCTATTTTACGTTGACACTTTTCATTCTAACTTGTAAGAATTTCGGTATAGGCTGGGTGTGGTGGCTCACACCTGTAATCCCAGCACTTTGGGAGGCCAAGGTGGGCGGATTACTTGAGGTCAGGAGTTTGAGACCAGCCTGGGCAATATGGTGAAATCCTGTCTCTACAAAAATACAAAAAAAATTAGCCAGGTGTGGTGGCACATGCCTGTAATTCCAGCTGCTGGGGTGGCTCAGGCTGGAGGATCACTTGAGACTGGGAGGCAGAGGCTGCAGTGAGCTGAGATTGCACCACTGCACTCCAGCCTGGGTGACAGAGCAAGACCTTGTCTCCAAAAAAAAAAAAAATTTTACTGCTTGCCTTAAATTGCCTTAAATGCTTTGCTTAATGCTGATAAGCCCTCCTGTTAAATTACAGATTTTGTGTTGGGTTATTTGGAGAAGAAATTTGAAAATGGAGAGCCATTTACAACTTCTTTATCTTTTTCTGAAAAGTTTGATGTTAGTGTCAAAAAAAAAAATGCTGGTTAAAACTTTTCCCTGAAGACCGAATTTCTGGAGAATGCCAGAAAGTACATAGAGTACTGAACTGTGAGTCTCAGAGTAGGGTGAAGGGGTGTTAGGTATAAAAAGCATGTTTTTGTTGTAAATGTTGGCTGGTTGACATAATTATAATTGTTGGCATTGCAGGAATCTTTGAGTGTCTGTTGTTTTGAACAGAGTTAAAAACTGACCTTGACTTTGTTATATTTAGAAGGAGTGGGCAGTAATTGCCAGTGTGTTAAATATTAGATTTGAAGGTTATTGGATATTCTTGAGAGCTATAAAAAATCCCATTTTATTATCTTTTATTCTGTGTTTTGGCTTTTGCAGAAAGTATTATACGAAGTAAACTTGATCATTGAATGCCTCTGGGTTAAAAAAAATTACATACTTTGGAAAATGACTTGACAAAAGTTTAATTAGAGAAAGGCTGATTAGATAGTTATGCTATTGAATCTCTTTATGTTATCGAATCTCTTATACTTGGAGGAGGAGGGGAAGTGTATAATTCAATTCAACGAGCTTGTGTTGAGTGCTAGACGACTATGTTGTGTGCTGGGAAAGACATGGTTAGTTACTTCCAGGAGACTGAGATATATAACTAGTTGCTCATTTTTTCCAGAAACTTAATTAATGCATTTTGAATTTAAGGCACCTTATTTTGGTATAATTCTCAGGATGCTTATGAGGTTTTAGTGGGTTCTCTTTACTCTTGCTGTGTGTTTTTGTTTATTTAATCATCAGATATTACTGCACTTCAAATAAGGGCCAGGTAATGTGTTAGGTATTGGGCATTCACTGTTGAACTGTGTCACTCAGTTCTTCATCTCACAGAATTTATCCTTTAATGAGGTAATTAGATAAGTAAGCAGGAAGGTACAATACAGTGTGATAAAAGCTGTGATGGGGGAAGTACTTCTCCTCTGTTCGTGTTTTTGCCTCTTCAAAGTTCTTGTTCCTGCTGTAACATCAGCAGTTTGTTTCTCTTGTTTAAAATGTTTAGCCAATTTTTTTGACTTTTGTAAGATGTCATCATGGGCCGACGTGAACTGTCTTTGTGGGTGTGGGAGGAGATGGATAGGACTTTTACCAATCCTGTTTGAAACTCAAAGGGATGTAGTTATGGCTCAAGACAGCCAAATTTGCAGGTCTGAAATATGGTTTTTTAAAAAAATGTACTTAGTCATTAATCTCTTCCAGCTTCCCAAGATTAAGTTTTGCCATGTTGCATCCTTGAATACCACCAGATAGCTGCTTATAAAAAACTTGACTTTGCTCACATTGGGCTCCTGTTTCATTCCCTAATAGGTTGTTATCTTCATCAATGTGGGTGGGTGCTCAAGCACCCTCTTGGTCATGCTCATGTGTCATGCTGCCTGTCTTTCCTGGGTAGAGGTAACTGTCACAGGAGAGAGCACACATCCCAGCACAATTGGGTTAGGGTCTTCAGTTGATACTCTGTCAAGGTAAAGGGAAAGACTTCCCAAATTATCACCAAAGCATTAAAAAAGTCAAAGTATTCAGCAGAACATAAAAAAAGTCAAAGTATTAAAATTTTTTCTTCCTTGAGGACAACAGATTTTTGCTTTAAGTTTTCTGTCCTTAATAACTTTGCTGCCATATATTACTGTCGGGTATTTTTGTACATTGATATGGGATTTTCTTGCTAGTTAGATACATCTTTGTTGGAGATTTTCAGTGTCAAATCAAGTACAGTAATGTATTAGTCTTTGCTACAGTAACTAGTTTTCAAACCACCAAATTTCTCTTGAGGAGCTGAATCCCCTATATTGAATAGAATGTTTGTGAATATGGTACACGAGAAAGTGGATTTAATTTCCTGCATGGCTTTATGCTTCTTACATTGATCAGTAAAGTGACCTTTCACAGTTTTCCCCCAGCAGTCAGTACATGTTTAAACTAAACTTGGTGTTCTCTGTGAGCAGCCGTCACTTTGGTTTTCACTTTTTCCAACCACTATTGGACCTTTGCATACATTTCTTCCAGAAGCATCTCTGTCCCCTTCTTTCTTGAGGCAAGCATTGATTCTTGAAGGTTTAGATGCTAGTAGGAGTGATGACTATAAGAAACAAGATGTACTACACTTGTAGTAGGCACAGTAATAGAGCTACAGATAAAGTTCTCTGGGAATTGGGAAGAGTAGAGGTGACCTATAGATACCAGGATTAAGCAAGTCTTATGGAGGAAGTAGCAGTAAAAATAATGCTTCAGGACAGGTGTGGTGGCTCATGCCTGTAATCCCTGCACTCTGGGAGGCCAAGGCTGGAGGATCAGTTGAACCCAGGAGTTTGAGAGCCTGGACAACACAGTGAGACCCCGTCTCTAAATAAATAAATAAAGCTTCAGAGAGTAAATTAGGACGTGGGTTTCAGGGGCAGAAGAGAGGAAAGATAGCTTAGTAAAAGTGTCACAAGAGCAGAGACGCAGTGGACAAGTATAGATCATAGCTAGAATTTCAGCTTGTCTGTTGAGAGGTTGTAATAAAGAGAAGAGGAAGAAAAAAGTTTGAAAAGGTAATTTAAATCAGATCATGGGAGACCTTGAATACTGGGTTAATACATTACCACCATTCAGTAGACCATTAGTGGATCTCTTGAGAGTCTTGAGAAGAGAATTAGGTGAACAGTTGGGAGGATTAATCTGGGCTACAATATGTTAAATAAATTGGGGCTGGGACATTGATGGTAAGGAGAGTATTAAGAGGTGGTTCCATCATTCTTGGAAAGATGCAGTGAGGACCATTAAATTGGTGTTTTGTGTATTTTTAATCACATCTGGTGTTTTGATCCTTAAATATTGCACTTTTGTGTGAAAGGAGAGCTTTAACTTATTGGTATTAAAATTAATCAACTTCACTGTAGGGAAAGGGGCTTGGCTTCATTTTATCTGTTAGACATACATTGAACAATTACTCTTTCCTAGATACTGTGCGAGGCATTATGGATGTAGAAGTAAGGAAGATACGATCCCAGCACTTTAGGTTTTTGTATTTTAGCACAATAGGAGATATTGAATTGGAATCTTAGTAACTCCTTGTGTTCAGAGTTTATAAGATATCAGCTATAAGAGAGGCAGGTTAAGAGGATGTTTGATGCTGGAAAGATAGATAGGAACCACACTGTGTAACACTTCTTTGGCTTAATTCCTTAGACAGTGGACAAAGGCTTTGAAGGTTCTATGGAATATGTAGTAACAGATTTCTCCAAGACTTCTGAGAAAAATAGGATGTAATATGGTTTTGTCACCTGCGAAGGAAACAAAGAATGTTCACTTAGAGGAATAGAGGAAGTACTGATTGTCATTTAGACTACTCCATTTGTGGGTGAAAAAGCACAAAGATCATATTATGTTATGCTGGGTTATTGATAGTAACTAAAGCAAAAATAAGATATTTTACACTGCCACTTCCAAAAAACAAACCTCTTTATTGGGACATTTAAAAGGAATTAACCTACTGCTAGTTTAGTTTATGCATATATAATGATATCCTTTGGAATTTTAATGCAGATTTTGATAATTTGTAAATTTAAGGGTGCCCTGAACATTAGGATATATTAGTTGGTAGTAGTGATGTGAGACCAGATTGATAGGCTTACATTCTTAAATAGGGTGGCCTGAATTTATCAGTCCAATGAAAGTGCATGTCTGTGAGGCAACAAAGATTATTATGTTTGAGAATTTTTTTTGGCAATAAAATAGTGCAGAACTAACCAAATACATTTATTGACCATATGATAGAAATTGCAGTGAGTTTAGGTAGAAGGTTTTTAGTTGCAATGTGAACTGTACTGGTTTTTTGCTTCTGAGCATGTTGAGTGAAGTGATTTTGAGCCAGTCATTCTTACCCCTGTCTGAATTGTTTAAAGGAGATCAAGAGAAAAAAAGCTATTATTGAAAAATTATATTTTCCTTAGACATTGCTGGTGAATAGTGGGAAATTTTGGTATTACATATATTTTATCCAAATTTAGGATGATATATAAATATAGTATTAAAATTTTGATTTTGTGTTTGATTAGGTTCTTGGTTTATATTTTGAAAATATTCGATTCAGCCTTTGAAATAGGTCTTCTGAAGCTTTTTTTTAAACCTTTTTGTCTAAGTGAAGAGAGAAGGTTTCTTAGAAAAGAATTCCAGGTTCACTGAATGGCTCTTGACTTCAAGAACTGAGTTACTGCATAACAAGATAAGTCAGATGGTCCAAGAAGCAGTTTACAGTTTTTGTTACCATGACTACAACATATTGGTAGAAGAATATTATATTTTATAGTTACTGTTAAACCCAAGTTGTCGATGAAAAAGTGAAAAGTTTTAGAACTTTGTGTCCAGTGGATTTATTTATATTACTAAGGAATCCTAATTTACTGTGACTTTTTTGTTTTAAGTGAAAGCAAAGCAAGTGTATTAGAGCAGCAGAGTACAGGAAAATGGCTGCACCATAGACAGAGCAGGGCTACCCCATAGGCAGAGTAGCTGTGACTTAAATTGTACTTTTAAAGATACTTCACAGTTTTTCAAGGGGTGCGTGTGTGTTTTTGTGTGTTTTAAGGGAAATCTATACAAGATGGATGTAACACTGTGTTTGCTAGGTACGAACTTTAAATTCTGGGCTGATGAGCAAAGATTTCAGAAAGCATTTCTCAGCTTTTTCTAACTGGTAGCTGAATAATTTTCTATAAGGATATTATACCCCTTGAAATAAAAGGATTCCATATTTGGTAGTGATCAGTATGTGTAGGTAAATTAGAAGCCTCAGATAGGAATTTGGGATAATGAATTACAAAGTGGTAAAAATAAAAAAGACCTTTTGCTGGATGCGGTGGCTCACGCCTGTAATCCCAGCACTTTGGGAGTCCGAGGTGGGTGGATCACCTGAGGTCAGGAGTTTGAGACCAGCCTGACCAACATGGTGAAACCCTGTCTCTACTAAAAATACAAAATTAGCCAGGCATGGTGGCGCATGCCTGTTGCAATCCCAGCTACTTGGGAGGCTGAGGCAGGAGAATCGCTTGAACCTGGAGGCAGAGGTTGCAGTGAGCTGAGATTGCGCCATTGCACTCCAGCCTGGGCAACAAGAGCAAAACTCCGTCTCAGAAAACAAACAAACAAACAAAAACAAACTTTTGCACTCCAGAAGAAACTTGCAAATAATTTTAGTAGTATTATTTTTTACTTCAAAACATTTGCCCCTCCATGCTTGCTTTTGTCTTTGATTTGCAAGCAGTTTATTGCAGCTGGGAGATCCCTCCTTCCTTCTTGTTTTCCCTCCCTCCCCTCTTTCTTGTCCACCTTGTCTGCCCACTCCTTCCCATTCCCTCCCTCCCTCCCTGTGAAAGGGAATTGGTGGAGAAGGAAACCTTGGTTTATTGGAAGAGTGTGGGAGATGAAGTTTAAATTGTAGAAGTTCATCAAGCCGTGCAAATTGGGAGCAGTAGGCTTTATGCTTCGTTTATAAGTGGCTTTTCTTCGCGCATAAGACTTTTTAGATGCTAGTATTGAGACTGTAATTGACAGTAGTAGTTTTTTTTCTTTTTAGGCTAGCCATCTGATTGCATAGCAGCATCACAGAAGATAGTCTGCCTGATCTAATGGCAGCATGTCAAGGAGTTACCTTGAGCATTAACTCTCCACTTTCTTTTTAGTTTCAAAAGATGATTAATATATGTTGTAATTCTCTCTGTGTCATTTCTGTTGTAGTTTTGTTGTCAGTAAGGACTATGTATATTTAGGAATCACTTGAGATTCCCGATAGTATTTTAAGCCTGTTGTTTTATATCATTTGATTATTAAGGGTGAACTTATTTGATTTTGTTTTCTATACATGTGTTTTACTCAGAATGTAGGTTAAAGTTTTGTTGTTTTGTTATGTGAGCTGCAGGAGATTAACTTTTAATACCGTGTTAGGTTGGAGAAGCATATTTTATTTAACTTGCTCCATATGTGCTGTATTTATGGAATAATTTTAACTATCTGTAATTGTTTGGGCTTAAAAAAACCTTCCTAGTAGAAGGGGGTTGTTTATAAGATAGTGTCATAGTATACTCAGCTGAAAATAAAATTGTGGGATTGAATTCTCTGATGCTCAGAAGATTTATTGATTTCATGTGAGAGAGGCTGTTATTCTTGAGTTACTTTTATTCAAACAGGAAAATAATAATACTATCAACCCTTACCATTTATGAAAATTAACTTAATTATCATTTTTAATAGTTAACAACTTAATCTCATGGGTTTGTTTCTAAGAGGATATTATACACTAACTTAAAATTTTAATTACAAAGGTATACAGTGAAACTGTGACTTTAAGTGAAATGACATATAGCAGGTTCTTGAATAACGTCCTTTCCTTCAATGTTCTGTTGTAACATGGATGAGGAAAAAAACCTGATTTTGTTATATGTTATTTCACTTTTGCAGTTTTCAAAAACCTATCAACAGTATTAAGTGAGGACTTACTGTAATATGATTATTTGGTGGATTTGGTTTTCTCAGAAAAAAATGTGATATATGTAGTTTAATAACTTTCAAAATGTTTTTTTCATTATTTCAACTTATTTTAATAGTTATTTATTAAACTACAGTACTATATGCCTACTCTCATGTTGCTTTACAGCCTTAGTAATATGTCACAATGCTATTAGAAAGTGCTACCCAGCAGAGACATATCTAACAAAAGTGTTAAATGGAATGGAATCGAGGATTAAAATGATACAGGCAGCAGTATACTTAAGAAGTGGACAGCTTTACAAATGTAGAGAGGTATTTGGGACTTGTGATGAGTAGTTGCTTTTATTTGTAAGGAAATTTAAGCAAAATCTTTGAACTTTCTAGGTTTATTTTTCCATCCTGTTTTTTTTGTCACTTAACGTTTATCTTGCATATTATAAAAATTATTTCTGACTCCCAAATTCAGCTGCCCTAAAGTATAAATCAGGCAGTTTCAGGATATATCTTCTAGTATTTAGGAGCCTTGTAGGCCGATACTTAGTTTAGAAATGCCCTTGAAGAAAGGTTTGTGTTGTTTTGTTTTCTCTTGAGTTCAGGCCCCTCTGAGGCAGAATCAGCCACCTTTTTGTCTTAAAGGTGCATTTTTTTTTTGGTCAGCAAAACTGCCTTCAGTAATAAAATGACAGGGACTTTGACTCTCAAGTTGCAGTATTCAGTATGGTAGCCACTTATCACATGTGGCTGTTTAAGTTAATTAAAATTAAATAAAATGAAAAATTCAGATCCCTGGTGTCAGAACACATTTCAGGTGCTCAGTAGCTACATATGGCTAGAGGCTGCCTTGTTGGACAGTGCTGGTCTAGGTTTCAGCAATGGTTGGAAAGGTCCGAAAGGCCACTTTGGGCACCATCGTAAGAAAAGGGACTAAAGGTCTTCTAACAGAAGATCATTGAGCAGAAGTGCAGTGGGAAGTTTTCTTCTGGCTAGCGGCATAATTAGAGTGTCACGAAGTTTCCCTAGATCTCTTTGTAGTCCTTTCCTCCCTCTTCATCTCCTTTCTTCCTTTTTGATATGGTGGCGAGTTTATTCATTGTGGTTGGAAACTAGTTTTGTTCCTTTTTGCAGGCTTTTCAAGTTGATAGCTTCAGGTGGTAAACCATGAGAGTGCTTTTCAGTGTCTCCTGGTGAGCTTTCATTTATAAATGCTGCTCCACTTTCATTAGCTTTATTTAGAAGTTTCTTTATTCATTATCATACCAGTTTACTACTTACATTTTCCCTAAACTCAGGCAGCCTTATTTTGGCACGTTTCTGCTTGCGTGCTAAAATAAGAGTGATAGATTAATTGTACCAGTTTTGGATTTTGGAATTCTTTATTGCTTTTGTGTAGTATATTTGTAGGATTAATGTTAGGTGCTGTACAGATCATAATGCATTTTCCCCGAAGGCATGTGGTTGGATTTTAGGGCTCTCTGATACCACTATAGAAATATATATATATATATATATATATATATATATAGGTTACGTTCTGCGGTTGCTTTTGGGCTGGTTTTTTTTCTTTCAAGTTTTAGGGAGGTGTTAAACAGAATGCTTATGAGATACCATATGTATTCCACGAAATAAAGCGATTCATTCAACAAACATTTATTAAATGCTCTCAGAGGTTTGAGAGAAGTAACAATATTATGCATACCATTTGCTTAGTGGTTTTTCTGATTTCCTTTAAGAATGTAATTGTGGCAACGTTTCAAAGCAGTTGACTTTTCTTGAATGTAGCTGCAGATCCAGACGTATAGTCCAGTTGATACTCCGTCCTGCAATGATTTCACTGAAGATTCAGATCCTCTGAATATAGTTTAGAGAATATCTGTGTACTGTTGTAGTGATTAGAAATCATTTCAGGGTGCCTCTGCTAACTGAGTATAACCATTAAGACTTTTCTGCCTGCCCCTTTCCCACAATGTTTTATCTCTTGTCATATGTAAGTTGCAGTGGGAAGGGAGGGCAGCTGAATTGGTCTTGAATTGTTTTCCCTTAAATGGGCTTAGTCTAGTTTGTGGGAATTGACTGCCCAAAACATTAGAAAAATTTAAGGGAGAAATGGTTAACTTTCTTAGAACTTTTAGAAGAATATTTCAAGAGGAAGCCCAATTTTGGTTAAGCCATGGTTAAATCTTGAATCCTAACTTATGCTAGGTTAGGACCGCTTGGAAGAATAGGGTAAGACAGAGCAGAATAGGACCACTTGGAAGTCTTCTGGGCTTTACCAAAGTTTGAGGGCTCTGTATCATTTGAGAAAGTGTCATCTTGGTTTATTTTTGCCTTGGGACTTCCAAGTATTTCTGAAACAGATCTCACTGTGGTAGAGGGTTGGGCTCTAATAGTTATCTGACCACTCCCTCAGCATTTGGTAGGAAGCAATAAAGAATAATAAGGAAAATACTTAGGAAGGAAAGCATAGAAGAGGACAGATGGGTTAGAATATGTAAACTGAGTGAAGAGCCATGATTTTCACGGCATTGCTTCAGAGAAGTGTGGAATGGTAATGGTTACTGGGTCAAGGCATCAGAAAGGGCCAGAGATTGAGAATGTGTCACAGTTGTAATAGTCATCTATTTTAAAAAACAAAGGCATGAAGGGATATATGTTCTAGCACATGTGATTTTTCTGGATATAATTTAAAAATATTTCCTCATCATGGCCTTAGGGGTCTCATTTAATCCAAAGTGGAAATTCTTTAAGGATGTTGAATACTGAGGTACACCTCCTTGGTTTGTAGTTTTTCTTAGGAATCAAACGTCATAGCTAGCTGTCTCTATAATGTACGTGCAACATTTAAAGTCCACAGGTAGTGGTACCTAAACTGTTGGCAATTTAAAAAACCATTAGGCTCCGAGCATGCCTCATAATCATTGATGATTTTTGCATAGGTGCATTTTATTTCATCAAAATATATTTATAAAGATATATTAATTGAAATGCATAAAATACAAATGAAGGCTTGATGGGGGGCTTTAATATTTCCATTTTTTACCTCATACTTTGAATCAGATAGTAGTATTTCCTTTTTTTTCCCTGGTGCTTTATTTATTTTTTCTTAGAGACAGGGTCTCGCTCTGTCACCCAGGCTGGAGTACAGTGGCACAGTCATAGCTTACTGTGACACCTCAAACTCTGGGGCTCAAGTGATCCTCACATCTCAGCCTCCGAAGTAGCTAGACCACAGGTGCACACCACCATGCGTGGCTAATTAAAAAAATGATTTTTGGTAGGGACAGGATCTTGCTATGTTGCCAAGGCTGGTTTTGAACTCCCAGCCTCAAGCAGTGTTCCTGCCTCAGTCCCCCAAAGTGTTGGGATTATAGACATGAACCACTATATCCAGCCAGATGCTTTTTTCTTTATATAGAATATTTGAATTAGTTTTATCCTCTTTCTGCTGTGAGTAGAACAGTTGAATCTTACTTGAGTTATTGAAATGACAGGTGTGATTTAAATAGCATTTGAAGAAAGGTTTTCAGGGAGATGTATCTACGTTAACTTTCCCCTATGGGGTGATAGTTAACTGTTGCTCCAAAGATGACCTGTGAGTTCCTATTTTTGAATATTATCGTGAACTCGTGGATTAAAACAAACTGTGTTTCAATTTATTGCAGTTGTTATCCTTTTGTTTTGAGACGGAGTTTTGCTCTTGTTGCCCAAGCTGGAGTGCAATGGCACGATCTCAGCTCACTGCAACCTCCACCTCCTGAGTTCAAGTGATTCTCCTGCGCAGCCTCCAGAGTAGCTGGGATTACAGGCGCCCACCACCATACCTGGCTAATTTTTTTGTATTTTTAGTAGAAACCGGGTTTCACCGTGTTAGCCAGGCTGGTCTCAAACTCCTGAACTCAGGTGATCCTCCTGTCTCGGCCTCCCAAAGTGCTGGGATTACAGGAGTGAGCCACTGCGTCCAGCCTGTTATCCTTCTCGATGTTTAAATTTTCTATCTTTGTCCAGTGGAAACCTATTCAAGGTGACCTCCGAGTAGTTTTGACACGACTCTTAACTAGTCACTGATACCCTCCTTGCTTTTTGGTATGACAACATGTTCCCTTCTTATCTTGAACATTTTATGCTCCAGATTTGGAATTAGCCCATTTTGCTAAGGAATTATAGTTCCTTTAGTTGGGGCATAGTATTTAGAGACCACAATCTGAGCACTGAGGATTCCTATTGCTACTAACTTACTCATACCTTTTAGGCCTTTTCAGTGAACAGACTTAGACGCATGTCTTTTTTTTTTTCTTTTTTTAAAACATAAATTACATAGTAATTCATACTGATACTTGGCAATTCAAGTTCAGGACTACAAGGTTTTTACTTAATATCATTCTTATATCTGTCTGTATCTTCTTTTTCCCATGCCCAAACTGCTGATGCTCAACATAATTTTTTTATTTGCTTTATCCCATGATATAAATACAGCACTCTTAGAATAACAACACTGCCATCAATATTACTAGAAATGCTAACTCTTTTTTTGTTGTTGTCTGTTATTGAAATACAGCAATGTGTCGCTTAATGCCTCTGAGAAATGCCTCTTTAGGTGATGTCATCATTGTGTGAACAACAGAGTTTGCTTACACAAACACAGACAGTATAGCCTACTATATACATCTGGGCTTTATGTAGCTTGTAGGCTACAGCATGTTATTGCACTGAATTCTGTAGGCAGGTATAACACAATGGTAAGTGTTTGTGTTTCCGAACATACCTAAACATAGAAAAAGCAAGGAACGGTGGCTCACATGTGTAATCCCAGCATTTTGGGAGGGTGAGGCAGGAGAATCTTTCGAGCCCATGAGTTTGAGACCAGTTTGGGCAACATGGGGAGACCCCATCTCTGTAAAAAATCTTACCAAAAAAAAAAAAGGTGCAGTAAAAATTCAGTTTTATTATATTATGGGACCACCATCATCTGTGTGGTCCATCTGTTGACTGAAACGTCATCATGGCGGCATATGACTGTATTCGTATACCTAGAGATTTTCTTTGTTCTTAGTGTATATTTTGTTATGAATGTGCCTTTACTATGCTTTAAAGTCACTCAGAATAATTCCTCTCTGTGGTTTTTGTCACCAACTGGTTACACAGTGAGGTGCTTTTGTTTCATCTTATTTTGGAGTTTTGGGGGGGATATATAAAAAAAAGTTAATCATTTTATAATTATGAAGTGTAGTTCCAAAGTCAAATCTACAAAACAAGGCATAAAGAAGTTAATGTTTTGTTATTTAACTTGTAAACAGTGAACTCTGTAGAGAATGCAGATTATTTTAGCGTTTTATCTTCTTTCAGTATGTTTAAATAGAAACAGATACTCAGTTGTATATCAGTGCTTTGGTAACTTTTTAATGCTCTGGATTCCTAGATTTAATAATAAGAGGAGGACAGGTGTTTGAAAAAAAAAGGCTACTTGCTGTTTTTCCTCAACAGCCCTTTGGCTTGCTAATTTTGTATATTGTTACCTTTTTTTCCCCGTCTATAACTTTTCTTTATCCTTCTTCACTGATAGATGTTCATTCATGAAACTGATAGTTCTTAAATGTATTGGTGTAAATAACTTTACTTCTGGCTCACATTTGAAGAAGTATCATTCCTTCACTGGAAGGAATTAGTAACAGTTTGGCTTTGTTAGCTTGTGCTTAAGGTAAGGTTTTAGATGTTCCTATGGTTTGACAGCTTCTGAAATATAATAATACCTAAGTGGATCACCTGAGGTCAGGAGTTCGAGACTAGCCTGGCCAACACGGTGAAACACCGTCTCTACTAAAAATACAGAAATTAGCTGGGTGTGGAGGTGTATGCCTGTAGTCCCAGCTACTTAGGAGGCTGAGGCAGGAGAACTGCTTGAACCCAGGAGGAGGAGGTCGCAGTGAGCCAAGATCACGCCACTGTACTCCAGCCTGGGTGACAGAGTGGGACTCCATCTCAAAAAAAAAAAAAAAAAAAAAAAAGGTAATAATACTTAAGTATCTCTATATCCGCTGAAGTTAATTCCCAAAAGTTTGGTAGGTTTCTTAGTTTTGTCCAATTAATCATTGCCACTTTGTTTTCTTTATACAAAGGAAGCAAAAAAAAAAAAAAAACAAGTTTTTAGTTATGCAGTGCATTGTAAAGTTTTCACAGCAGAAACTGCTGTATTTATATTAAATATATTTTAATGAAGAAGTTAATATGTATGGTTATGATTATCGCAGTGGTGAGGCGGCTTTCATTTCCTCAGAGCGGGAAGTGTTAACTGCTTTCTCAAGCTCCAGGAATGGCAGAAGATAGATCTGAATGAAAGGATAAGGTAGGAAAATAATTGGAATCATTCAAATGGATTAGATTGGTGGCCATTTACCAAAATATACCTTTTTTAATCATTCTGTTTGTAACCCATTTTCTTCTGAATGGACTGATAGCTCAGTTTCTCCCTCCCTCTGGCCAAAAACAGTAGGGAGGAAAAGGACTTAGCTCTTCTTTTTAAAAGACTTTCCTTTTTTTTTTTTTTTTTCTCTTCCTTTGTTTTTTTTTTTTAATGGTAGAACAGTTGAGAAGGTGATTATTGTAGGGAGTGGACCATTGTGCTTCTTTTATGGGGTGGTGAGGGAAGGAATCTTCTAATAAGAACTTATGTCTTTGGTCCCAAGTAGCTGATGAGAAGAGGACTAGTTCTGTTTGAGTCTCATTGAGTGTAAAAAAGCTAGGAAAAACGTTAAAAAAAACACGACTTGAAAAAAATTTGTATTACAGCACCTCTTTTTGAAGTGCCATCTCATTTATCGTGTATTGTTGGAATACATAGTTAACTGGTGTTTTGAAGTGCTTTTGCCATCAGAGCTCCTAGAGCAAATGGATAAGGATAAAATCTGACTTCTCTTTCTCTTTAATAGGCACCGTTTTTGTTCACCATTTTCTGAGTTCTGGTTAGGATTTGGCGACAGTATGAAGATGAATTTGTGTGTCCCAGAAGGCAAGCCACATGAGTAGTTGAGTAAGTAGGAGGCCATGTACAGTTGGAAGAAAGGGTTTATGGTGTTCTAGGTAGCCACCAGAGGAGACAGCAAAGAAGCAGTATTTGTCCCAGCTGTGATCACCACTGACACTACACTGCTGCTTTTTCTTGGCAGCGATATTATTCTTCTTTTATATTAGCCATTTTATAAATTCTGAAAGGGAACACATCTTATTCTTTGCCAATTCTGAAAACTCTGGCCAGGTTAGCTTAAGAAAATAAGATAATAATAATACCTAAGTATCTCTATATCTACAGATAGGGATCTACAGACAAGACAAGGTAGGTTTAGGATAAAGGGCAGGAGCCAGGTCTAGGGAAAACAGTGGGTCAGAACAAGATAGGGGTAGACCAAAGGAGGACACATATAATGGAGAGTGAGATCAAGAATGACCAGATAGCAACTAGAGGAACTTATAGTGGGGAATGAGACAAGGCATTATATTAAAAGTCATGACAGCAAACACCAGAACACATACTAGAAGAAAGGCAGTTGGTGAAAGGTTTATAATTTAGGAATTAGAACATCCATCTACGCTGAAAAATAGGATTGTTGTAAGAATTGCCATGAACTGCCTACAGCATGGGTACTGAGACAGCAAGCAGTCTTTTGCTAGCCAGGAAAGTTCTTACAAGTTCTTCCTGCGTAGTAGCTACTCCTAGCTGATAGCAGTCATGGAATACAGCAATTCAGTTTACGTCTGGCAGCTCCTGACTCCTGAGCAGCTGGTCTGAATCACTGGAGTTTTATGGAAGGCTAGGTTCTGATAAATTTTGTTCTCTCTCAAAGTAGAAAGATTGATAGATTATGGTCCGTAATCTAGAATTTTGTTCTCTCTCAAAAGTAGAAAGAAAATTTTGTTCTCTCTCAAAGTAGAAAGATTGCTAGATTGTGGTTCATGTGCAGAAACTTTGAGTTAGGTTGACTTTTGGAAGCAGATCAGTAGCTATTGTGGTATGCCCACCACTGGCATTTCAAAGAAATGCATATTGAAGCCTTCTGAAAGTCCCACTTTTGCAGATACCATTACGACATGTAATTTTCTTCCATAAAATAAAATTTTTGCTCTGGCTAGCCTATTCACCAAAAATATTTGTGCAATGGGTTTTTATTGTTTCTAACTAAGCATATAGTTAACTGATTCAATTCGTAAGTCTGAGTGATTCCTCGATGACTTTTCACTCTTGTCTTTTTCTTTTTGTGTTTTTTTGAGATGGAGTCTCACTCTATTGCCCAGGCTGGAGTGCAGTGGCGTGATCTCGGCTCACTGCAACCTCTGCCTCCTGGGTTCAAGCAGTTCTCCCTGCCTCAATCTCCTGAGTAGCTGGGACTACAGGCGCCTGCCACCATGCCCGGATAATTTTTGTATATTTAGTAGAGATGGGGTTTCGCCATGTTGGCCAGGCTGGTCTCGAACTCCTGACCTTAGGTGATTTGCCCACTTCGGTCTCCCAAAGTGCTTGGATTACAGGTGTGAGCCACTGCGCCCAGCCTCACTCTTGTCTTTTGTGGTAACTTACACTAGTCTTTCCTTATATGTCTTCACTTTTACCACCAGCTCTAGCACTGGACTGTTTTTTTATTTTTATTTTTATGTTTATTTCAAAAAAAAAAACACAAAACAAAACACCTTTTAAAACAAAAGCTTCAGAAAAGTTACTGTTTCTAGCATCAAGTAGAGAAAAATAAACACCACCACAAAGTGATGATATTACATGTACAGAATGTTACAAGTTTAAGGCCTATTTATTTTGTAAACATTTGCAAGCCTTTTATAAGCAAAACTTGTAAAACCGAATCTTACATGGAACCCTCATATAGAAAACTGTTAACATTCCTGCCTGAAGATGGTGTGGAGACATTTGTCTTGAGGTCTCTGAGGCACTTTGATGAAACTCGAGAGTTCAGAGGAATACAGTTTGAAGAACGCTGATTTAATTTGGTCCCGCTGTTTTTGTAGATGAGGAAATTCAGACTAAAAGGTCCAGTGTTGGTTTCTGTGGCAAGCAAGCATAAAATAAATCTGAAAAGTTTTAGCAAAGCCCATTCATCTGCCTTCCAGGTATTGAGTTCTGGTAAGAACAGGAGTGCTTTTGTAAAACTTTGTGATTTCTCTTGTATTCTTCATTTGCCAGATTTTCTTACATTTTTGAGATTCTTCTAACTTTGCATTTTCTCCTAAGCCTTTTGTGAGAAGCAGTTTTTAATTTTTCTGAAGCCTTATTGAATAGAAAGACTTGAGTGAATCTGTGGGGAGACGCTGACCGTGAAGAACCCCAGAGGCTGTCAGGGGAAGAAGGTTAAGGGTTGGTGGATTTTAGAGAGAGGGGAGTTCCTTGTGCATCACAGCCACAGGAGATTTAAAAATGCGTAAGCCGAGGCATGGGGCAATGAAGTAACTTGCTCAGTGTCATACAGCTTGGTGGTGATGCAGTTAGAATTGCAATTCTAACTGATCTCTAATAAGGCTGTGCTTTTTCAACCATTTCCATTGTACTCTCTTGCCTCTAACTGTTGTCTGGATAGCTATAATATTTGAGTAGATACAGTGTTATATTTCTCAAGTTGATGACATTTCATCCTTAAATTCAAGACTTAGGTCCTATAAATTGGTGTTTTTCTTTATCTTTTAAAAAATCTTAAGCTCTGTAAAATGATTCTGCTTTGAACGAAGGGTACTTATATCTGCCAAAATCATTATTGAGCTTCTCTAGTCATTTATTTTCTTGAAATTGAAATGAAACTTTCTGAACACAGCCTTACTGAATATGGATTTCAGAGCCATAATAATGCTTCTTGCCTCTGCAGATTCTGAATTGATCTGAGTTTGGCAGTGAATTATGTATGTGTTATTTCAGGAATTTTGCACATGCCCTGCTTTAAACCACTGATTATTTTTGTAAAATGCTGTTGTGTGGATTTGGCTCATTCCATTGACGCTGAACTCATCAGATGGCTATATTGTCTTCTAGGAATGTGACTTGAATTGATTAAATGGCATAGGCAGCAACATCTGTTTTGTAAAGCTAGTTTAGTTTCCTAAAACTTTAAATTTTCAAATTTACAGCTTACAAAGAGAATGAAGCATATTTCTTTAATGCCATAAAAAGACTTTCATGGAGTTTTGATGATAGCTTGTTTTAACCTTGCCCTTAACCTAATTCTTTTTAGAACTTATTTTCTTACTGTATTATATTGCTCATTTTCAAGAAAAAGACATATTTGTAATGTTGGAAACTTTATAGTCTTATATGGATGGCTCTTAGGTTTTTCAGATCATTCATCCATTTGAAGACCTGCAGAAAGCTTTGGATGGTCTCCTAGAAAAAAAAGCACCCATACACGTGCTCCTAAAACTCTGTACAATTGTGGGAGGTAAAGCTCACCTGTACAGATCCCCCTGAAGCCTCCTGCCTCCTTGATGTCCTTTGCTTCACATGTGTTATTAAATGCATTAATAATGCTGCTGACTGTGCACATAAGTTACCTTTCTTTATACACAGCTTATAGATTTGTTGAATATTTGGATCACCATTTTTAAAAATCAAATGTTTTATGATGTTGATCTACATGTGTCATTTTTATTTCTCGGGGTTAATGTCTATTTTTATTCTTTTTCTCTCATCCTTGTAATTTCTTTTTTAGTTAAGGAAATGTATCCATCTCAGGGTTTCTTCATTTATTATTACAACCCTTATTTGGATGGACTTAATGACCAAAATTTATATGGTATTACAGTACATAGGCTTACCTGATCTAATCTTGTAGAAGACTTTTCTTGTATACTTCTTCGTGTAACATTTTCAAATAATATTTTCAATTTGGGATAGAGGACTTTAAAGAAAGTTAAGACTTGGGTAAAGATAGATACTCTCATATGACAACCCATGGGGGCTTTTTAAAATTATACTAGTGGATGTGTATTTTTATATTCAGTTGATCCTAGTCTTTGTACAGTCAGTTTTCTTTTACAATCTGGAATTTTGCCCATGGTTTCAAGGCCAGCATGGGTATTTACTAAGTAATCTTGAGGATGACTGTTCTTCTTTTGTAACCTGCTCTCTCCAGATCTGATCTGTATCTGTTTTAACCCAGAAGATGTGCCCTTTTGCTTACACCATCCCTCTTGTTTTAAGTTAAAAAGACAAAAGCTACCCGATCTACTATGTCATAGGAATTATTATGATATTCTCTACCTCTCTAGCCCTGTATTAAAAAAATCTAACTTGCTGCGTAGTGCTTTTATTTTATAAACTATTTTTAATCATTAAAAAATTCAAATTTATTGATTAAAATATAAATTGAGGCACAGTGAGTCTTTGAAGTCTTTGAAGTGTGCTTAGTATAGACTTAGTGTACTACTGCTGGTTTCATGCACCAGAACGCTTTGATTATTGTGTTTTTTCTCTCCTTGTGGGGTGTAGGCTCATTGAGGACAGTTTACGTACATATTCTTCTGTTAGCACTTTTAACATAGTCCCTGTCAAGTAATTCAACAATAGTTGAACAATTGCTAATTGAATGAATTCTGAAAGTTTCACAAATTAGACCTGAAAGGAAAGATTATTTTTCTCACCTGTTTTTCTTGAAGTTTCAAATTATTTTGAACTACAAATGGTATTTCACTAGTAAGTGTGAAAATTTATTGTGAATATAATTAATGTCTTGCAATGTGTGATGAGAAAGGTGGCTATAGTACACTAGATTGTTAACATTGTACAAAGTACAAAAGTTCTTTGGAAATGTTGAATGACTGCAGTGTGGCCATTATTACTTTTTTCCTGGGGTAAGAAGGAAATGCGATAATTAAAAAAAAGGCAGGGGATTGGTAGTACTTTATTAAAGAAATCTTATGTTGCTAAGATAATTTAGTCATGTAATTTTTTAAAAAACAGGCTATTTAAAATAATGTTTGCTTTTTCCTTCTTCTTCTCCTTTTTTTTTTTTTTTTGAAAAGCATCCTCCTGCCTTGGCCATCCAGAGTGCTAGGATTACAGGCATGAGCCATGGCGCCCGGACTTTTCCTCCTTTTATTTCAACCATGACAATGTATTTTGGCTCTCTGCTGATTTAAATTATATTTCGTGGAAAACAGTATGACGTCCAAAATGCTCATATAACCTTGAACTTGAAATTATTTTCCTGAGAAAATTTGTCCTTCTGACTGATGCTCTTTAGTGTATAAAGGTATTAGTTGTAATTGATTGGCTTCTTAAATGTTGGAAGTATGGTGTTAAGGCAGATAGATTTCTTTATTTCTTGAGGGGTGGAGATTAGATTTTGATACTGGACCAAAAAATGATTTTTCCTGATATAGGTTTGAATTAAAAAAAAAAAGTAGCATTTAAAAAGTATGGATTCCTGGTCTTAAAATTTGATGACTGTTTAACCAAATGGGAACTGTTTTTCTGAAAGTGCTTTAGGGCAATCAGTGCTAATGCTTTTACATGCTTACTGAAAGTAGAAACCTAGGCATTTGATCAGAGTATTTTCTAAGAGATAGAAAATGTTTAAAAGTCAGATGATAAGCTTGCATAAGCCTCAAGGGTGACACAATTTAGTATTCCTAAATAAGGACTTAGTGTTTCTTGCAGATGAGGATATTGCAATAGGAAGCTATTTGACATAAAAATAAAGTGTGCGTGAAGTGTGCTGTATCACTTTTGTGTAAACTCTCTTTTTGATTTTCTTAAGCAGAAATGGCTGAGATTGGGTTTACATAGTCTCTTAAAATCAAAGCTTGCTTTACTGCATAGAATAAAATGTGTTTCTCTGACTGACTAGTACTGTATAAAATAGCCTACCTCTCTCATGCAAAAACTGATATTGGACAGAAGATGGAAGAGACAAGATAAAAAAAATGGGACCAGAATGGAAAGGGAATCACAGAGGTGGCTAGTATTAGATTCCCAGAGCAAGGAGAAAGAACAAGCAAATAAGAACATGGTAACTTTTTCTCTAAATGGGTCAGATAGTAACCTCTACTTTATAGTCCCTAATCAGTGTGCCCACCTGTAGACATAGAAACTTTAGTGGTTCCTAGGGGCAGAGAGGGTGGGAATCAGGCCTTAAAGAGAGGCAGCAGGAGACATTAACTTTGTGTAATTGTACTCTGATGTACTAAGACTTAATGACTTAGGTTCCTTAGCATCTATATCTTTTTCCAAAGCTGCAGCTGTAATTCATTTTACTATTTCTCCTAAAGAGTGTCCATTCAGTGTTATTATTATTCATCAAATAGGTTTTGCATGCTTACTATGTGGAGGGCAAGTCATAAGATCTGTAAGAGGAATTTCTTGGATCCCTTTCTTTATGGCGCTCTTAGTCTAGGGGAGGTGTTAGAGGCAGGATGATGGACACTAAGAAAGATGTAATTATAAAACTGTTAAGTTATGGCAACATTAACTGATAGTCAGGATGCAGTGCTTCCCAGGAGAAACACTGTGCTCCTTTGACCCCATGAGTGGAGTTGTCAGAGAAGTCTCAGTGAAGAGGCACATCTAAACTTCTGTAGGGGGTCAGAGAAGAGACAGCAATTTATTCAGTTTGGGATTGATGAAAGTATTGCAAATGTAGGCGGCACTACTGCCTTTACAGAAGAGTTAGATTTCACCAGGAAAGAAGGAAGGAAAAGGTACTCTAAGCAGGAAACACAAGAAAGGCATGAAAAAAAATTTTTTTTAAAGTATGTGATATGTGTGTGGGATATGTTGAATACCCTTGGGTTGCTTGAAATAGAATTTTGTGTCAGCAGGGGAGAAAAAGGTAGGGTGAGGACAGCTTGTGATATAAGATGGATGGTACAGTTGAGACCTAAGCAGGAGGAAAAGATGAAATATTTTAAAAAGAATTTTTTTTTACATTGTAGTTCTCTGGTACTTAAAATATGTAATATATGCAGTAAAAATTATTGGGTTCTTGGTGTGTGGAAGGAAAGTAACAAATAACATCATGTTTTGGTTATCTGCCATACATAAGCACTATTGATGGTATTATTGTTAATGACTTTGTGCATTCATAGGTGTTTGCTAAATAAGTGTTCTCTGTAAAAATTTCTTTTCAATGGAAATTCTTGCTTTTATATGAACATGTTAAAATTCTTTTGGCTTTCTACAAAAGAAATGGATTGCTGGGTGATAAATGCCAATTTAAAATGTTACACTACTTTGATTAAAAAATCATAAAGAGTTGCTTTCTAATTTTCATGATTTTTAGCTAGCAGCTGGTGAGTAACTGCTTTTTTTTTTTCCTTTTTTTCTTTTTTTGAGACGGAGTTTCACTCTTATTGCCCAGGCTGGAGTGCAATGGCACAATCTCTGCTCACCACAACCTCCGAATCCTGGGTTCAATGATTCTCCTGCCTCAGCCTCCCGAGTAGCTGAAATTATAGGCATGCGCCACCATGTCCGGCTAATTTTGTATTTTTAGTAGAGATGGAGTTTCTCCATGTTGGTCAGGCTGGTCTTGAACTCCTGACCTCAGGTGATCCGCCCGCCTCGGCCTCCCAAAATGCTGGGATTACAGGGGTGAGCCACCACGCCTGGCCAAGTAACTGCTTTTGAAGCAGTTGGAGCTCCCATTTGTGTCCCAGAAGAACATCTTACTGATGAAAATAAAGTAGTGGTTGTGCTAAATGACTGAAGAATGGACAACGAGATAAAGCAGAGAACAGAGATAGAGTTCCTTATGGCAGTGGGCCAGAGTCCTACTGACATGTACAGATAACTAAAGAAAGCGTGTGCTGTGTATCTTGTGCTGTCAGATAGATGCTGACTGAACCGTGCTAGTTAGGGAGACCAGCCCTTCAGCCGAGTACACGGTTTCATCTTTGCAGTTAGGCTGCAGGACTGCTGCTGTATTTTCATCCACCGGAGCTTAATATAATTTTAAGGATTATGTGGGTGGAGGCTTAGACTAAAGTAAAGTGAGTGTGCTGTTTATCACCAGCAAAGAGTATGCTTTGTCTTGAGAGAGAGACACTGAACTGATGTTCTGTCTTATTGTTTGTGTTTTCAGACTTAATATGGTTACTGTTCAAACTACTATATATCTTTGAAAGATTCCCATTGATATGTATTCCCATCAAAAAGAATTACTAAGTATATAACTAGATATAAATGCCTTCAAATTTTGAAGACATGTCTGTCTAATGCTAAAATTAATGCACTTTTATTAATCTGATAGTGCCCCTAAAATACACAAAACTTTAACCAGCTGTATGTCTTAACTAGTTTAGATAAAACCATCAGATTCTTAAGCTATGTAGACACAGCTGGACCACCAAAAAGAGAGTTAAAATTTTATAATATAAATGCAGCCTAAATTATCAGCATTATTACTTTTCTATTTATTTTAAATTTGGAGAGAAAGGTTAAAAGATACTTCTGATTGAATAAATTGTGTTGATGGCAGTAGGTTTGCTTTTTGATTGTATATTTGGTTTTAGTTAACAAGAAATCCTGTTACTCAATTCTGTAATCTACTATTCTAGTACTCTTCTACCCCAATCACAAGTTTTATTGCCACCGTTTTGGAAAGAAAGCACTCTTATCTCATGTGTCATTTCTCTGGGTGTTAGAAACTGAATTTAAAGGACTATTAAGTTGCAGCCGAAGCCGAAGACTGGGCCAGTCAGACTTTTTTTTTTTTTGTTAATTGCACCTTACTTATTGGCCCTGTTTTCAATTTTGCTCTGTGGAAACACCCAGAGGACCTCTGTGGTGTTCTTGGGTAGCATGTATTCTGTACACAATTTGGCCCTCTAAAGTGAGGTCAACAGTAAAAAATATAATTTAAAAATTAAGCTAGATGAGTTCAACCAGTAATTTTTTTTCTTGCTACTTGAAAGTTAGATTATCCATTAGGTTATAATTTTCTTTGTTATGTTGTTGATCTGGATAATATATGATTCAGTGTAATTTTTTCTTTTCTCATTGCCTCTTTGCTTGTTCTGAAACTGCTGTTAAATATATCATTGAACCTTGTTTTCTGGCCTCCATAATATATCTTTAAAACTTCTTTGCCTCTGCAACTTTCTAGTTAAATTCTTCATTATTATTCTCTAGTTTATTAACTCCTTTTCAATTTTTACTGTTTACATTTTATCTCTTACTCAGTTTTTCATTTCCATTGCTTATTTTAAAATTATTTAAAACTTACTTTGAGTTAAAATATTCATTCTTTAGCTTTTAAATTCTTTTTCATTTCCACCTAGCCTTGTTTCACTTCTGCTTGTTGTGATTTTTTTTCCCTTTATAAAAGAAATTTTACTCTTTTATAAAGAGTAAAAGAGTGGCTCACGCCTGTAATCCCAGCACTTTGGGAGGCTGAGGTGGGTGGATCGCTTGAGGTCAGGAGTTCAAGACCAGCCTGGCCAACATGGCAAAATCCTGTCTCTACTGAAAATACAAAAATTAGCTGGTGTGGTAGCGCACACCTGTAATCTCAGCTACTTGGGAAGCTGAGGCAGGAGAATCGCTTTGAACCTGGGAGGCGGAGGTTGCAGTGAGCCGAGATTGTGCTACCCTAGCCTGGGTGACAGAGCCAGACTCTATCTCAAAAAAAGAAAAAAATTTTAAGCATACTATTTTCAGGCTTTTCTGTTTCTATTTTGTTTGAAGGGATTTTGTATTTCAGTTGCTGTGTTTTTATTCGTTTTCTTTATGTCATGGTACAGCTTTGACTGGGAAGTCCCCCCACTCCCCACAGTCCCTTCTAGTGGTTTTGCACGTATTCTTAACTGCTTCTCCCTGTTGCCCCCACCCCCACCAAGGTCTTAGATTGGCAGCAGAGGGCACTTGTCTCCCACTGATGGTAGATACACCTGCATCTTTGTTCCAGTTGGCCAGGCAGTGGGATAGTGTGGCTGAAGCCCTAGTATTCTCACTTTCCTAGGCACTCAGTTTCTGAGAAGACATACTTCCTGAAAGTCCACACAGCTTACTTACCCCCAGGCAGCTGTTAGTAGCAGTTTGTTTTCAGCCCAATTTCGGCCTCAGTCCCTTATCTTAGGTGGGCCACTTTTATTCCTGTTTCTATAGGATCTGAAACCTAGGCCTTCACTGGTTCCTTCTGAAACCAGAGCCTAGCAGCCCTATACCTTCTGCCCACTCTCTGTTACATATTTCTGTTTCATGGTGATGCTGGTCTTTTTTAGTTAGGTAGGTCTTTAAAATGTCTTCTCCAGGATTTTGCCTGTTGTTGCTTTGTATTTGAAACAGGGTGGGTTTTCAAAGCAATTTATGATGCCATCTTGATTGGAAGTTCCAGTAAATTAAAAAAATTATTTCTAGCTTATTATATTTCAGTCATATTTTATTTTTAACAAGCTTTTGATTTTTTAAACAATCTTGTGAATCTTTTCATATTCTCTAGAACATATAAATATTTCTCTTTATGCAGTTCAGCCAAAGTTTATTTAGCATTGTGGGCTTAATATTTTCGTGATGCTTTTGAATGTGGTTAAGGTGAATTTGATCAGATGGATTGAGGATTTGTAGATGAAGTAGTCCTGAATGATTTTTACTATGATTAGGAAATACCCTGTACTTAAAAAGAAGTAGGGGTGGCTGGGAGTGGTGGCTCATGCCTGTAATCCCAGCACTTTGGGAGGCGGAGGTGGGTGGCTCACCTGAGGTCGGGAGTTTGAGACCAGCCTGACCAACATGGAGAAACCCTGTCTCTACTAAAAATACAAAATTAGCTGGGCGTGGTGGTGCAAGTCTGTAATCCCAGCTACTCAGGAGGCTGAGGCAGGAGAATCGCTTAAACCCAGGAGGTGGAGGTTGCGACGAGCCGAGGTTGCACCATTGCACTCCAGGTTGGACAAAAAGAGCGAAACTCTGTCTCAAAAGAAAAAAAGAAGTAGGGGTGTGGGTATAGACAGGGTTATTTTTTTGTTTTTTGTTTTTTTAAATACCCTTCCGTCATCTTCTCTTCTTTTGTCATTTACATCTACATCTTTAAAAATTGGAGATAGGAAATATTCTGATTGAGTAAACTTATTTAGGTTCTGGTAAAGTTTTGTAAATTGCTGAAAGGCTGGAAAGTTAATTGGAGCTTTTTAATAGTGAAATTGAACTTTGTTAATGTCTTTTTGCTAACTACTTTGATCAGCTTTAATCTTTGACTAGCTTCTCATTGAGTTCATTCATAAAGGTATTTCTTAGGAGACTGATGTACAGTGATCGGTTTACTTGTGAGTTACATTCTTTGGACTGGATGTGATTCTTGATTGTGACTCCTACTATTCCCATGATGATTTCCTTTCTCTAGAGAAGCAGATATGTGGTTTTCATTTCTTTGTGCTTTTTCCTTTGATTTTGGGGACTCTGATTATTAGTAATTAGAAATTCTTACCTTTTTTTTTAAACAAAAATAGCGAGGTATTAGTGATTATTAGGAGTTTTTTTTTTCTGAGAGATTTCTACTTTACACTAAATCTTCATCTTGACCAGATTTGACAATGCATTTAGATAAACTACTTGAGAATTTTTTTGGAAATACCGAAAAATAATTAGATGACTCACATTTCAAGTACTTCTAAAACAGTAAGTTAATATGTAGACCTATTCTCAGTTGATATTTGTGCTTGAGTTTAAAGTTTAGATGTTTTGTTCCTAAGACAAAGCATGGACAATATAGTACTTCTATTACATTGAAAAATATTTTTGATTATTTCTAAAATAAATAAGCTTCAGGTTAAAAACTTAAAATTATTAAAGACAGGATTTTGCTTTGTTGTCCAAGCTGTAGTGCAGTGGCATGATCGTAGCTCACTGCAGTTGCAAACTCCTGGGCTCAAGCCATCCTCCCACTTCAGCCTCCCAAGCAGCTGTGACTACAGGAGTGAGCTACCATGCCTGCCTAATTTTTGTTTTTTTTGTTGTTGTTGTTTCTTTTTGAGAAGGCGTCTTGCTCTGTTGCCCAGGCTGGAGTGCAGTGGCATGATCTCGGCTCACTGCGAACCTCCGCCTCCCCAGTTCAGGCGATTTTCCTCTGTCAGCCCCCTGAGTAGCTGGGACTACAGGCACGTGCCACCATGCGTAAGTTTTTGTATTTTTAATAGAGACGCGGTTTCACCGTGTTAGCCAGGATGGTCTTGATTTCCTGACCTGGTGATCTGCCCGCCTCAGCCTTCCAAAGTGCTGGGATTACAGGCATGAGCCATGGCGCCCGGCCCATGCCTGCCTGATTTGTAAATTTTTTGTAGAGACAGGGTCTGCCTGTCTTGCCCAGGCTGGTCTTGAACTGCTGAACTAAAGCAGTCTTCCTGCTTTGGCCTCCCAAAGTGCTGGGATTATTGGAATATTAGAAATAAGGGTCAGGGTTGTTTTTTTAATTATTCCTTAAATTGTTCTTGTTATTGTCCTGGAAATGGAAGAGTCTTGAACTGTCCAGCTTCCTGAGTAGGTTGGTATAAAGACTTTGACATATTTATGTTTCCGGTATGTCTAATGTGACTTAAGGATGCACTGCATCCCTAGAATAAGTCCTATGATGTTACAGAGAATAAAACCTTTATACTAATAAAGTATATATTGTTAACTGAGATTTTATTTCTCTCATTAAATGTGTTTAAATGAGATTTTAAGTTTCATTTCTTATTAGCTTTGTTTTTGCATTTATATTCATATTTATTTTCTCCTGTGTTTACTCTCTTAGATTAAGCAATTAGAAATTGTGTTACATTTTTCTTCAAAACAAATATAACTAACAGATATTAGACAGTTAAATTTCCCCAACTATGTTGGCAGTTTTCAAATGTTGACATACATGCCATGACATTTGGGAGGCAAGAGAATGCTTGGCTACATAAGGGATGGGGTCTGTTCATAGAAAGGGAGATGTGGATCCAGGGCACTGGTTGTACAAAGGCAAAAGCCACCACCCTTCCGTTGCCCTGAAAGTTTATTTTATTGCTCTCTTTTAATTGTTTTAGTGGGCATTAAATCTTAAAAAAATTTAACCATTATCTGCTTTCCTAGCATTTGGATATTAATATTTTAGCACACTCATTTTAACTACATTCTATTGTCATTAAGATAATTAATACCATTTTAGGTAGAATAAAAATTAATAGTTTGTGTGTATTCTCTTCTTTGCCTTCCCTTTGATAGTTCCTCGGTGATTTGAAAATAATTTGCCTTTTTTACTTTTGATGCTATAGTACTTTTTAATTAAATGTAGATTTTTAAATTAATTAATTAATGAATTAGGGATGGAGTCCCACTGTGTTGCCCAGGCTGGTCTCCAACTCCTGGGCTCAAGTGATCCTCCCATCTCGGCCTCCCAAAGTGCTGAGATTATAGATGTGAGCCACCGGGCCTGGCAAAACGCATATTTCTATGCTCTTAAAAAAATTCTAATTTTTTAATTTGATAGTTAAAAAGAGATACATGTGGCTGGGTGCTGTGGCTCATGCCTGTAATCCTAGCACTTTGGGAGGCTGAGGTGGGTGGATTGCTTGAGGTCAGGAGTTTGAGACCAGCCTGGCCAACATGGTGAAACCCCATCTCTACTAAAACACAAAAATTACCTGGGCATGGTGGCGGGCGCCTGTAATCCCAGCCACTAGGTAGACTGAGGCAGGAGAATTGCTTGAACCCAGGGGGTGGAGGTTGCAGTAAGCCAAGATTGGGCTGCTTCACTCCAGCCTGGGTGACAGAGTGAGACTTTGCCTCAAAAACAAAAACAAAAAACACAAATAATAGATGCATGTTTAAATTCAAAGTTTGATTATTGTTACCCAGTACTGATCCTTGAGAGCACCAATGTACTTAATAAACTGTAAATAAATAATAGTTAGAAGGTAGAATTTTGTTTGAAGTATTTGACATTACTGTTACATTCCAAATACTGAAGTATTTGGAAATTACTGTTCCTTGACTGAACCAAGCAGTGATTTTCTTTTCTTTTCTTTTCTTTTTTTTTTTTTTTTGAGACAGAGTCTCGCTCTTTTGCCCAGGCTGGAGTGCAGTTGTGCAACCTCTGCTCACTGCAACCTCCGCCTCCTGGGTTCAAGCACTTCTTCTGTCTCAGCATCCCGAGTAGCTGGGACTACAGGCACGCACCACCACGCCCGACTAATTTTTGTATTTTTAGTAGAGATGGGGTTTCACCATATTGCTCAGGCTGGTCTCGAACTTCTGACCTCAGGTGATCCACCCGCCTTGGCCTCCCACGGTGCTGGGATTACAGGTATGAGCCACTGTGTGCAGCCCCAGTCCTCAAGGTAAGCAACAGAAGCATCCCAGGATAGGAAAGTCTCATACTTTGATTGACAAGGTCAAATTGTATCGTTTTCACATGTTTTTAAAAAAGTACTTGTACATCACAATTTATACTGTAATTAAAACAAGTAAACCTTTAAAAGCATGAAATGCAAAGGAGTACTTAGTTTTGATTAATTGATTTAACAAAAAGTATGAGATTGTTTGACAGGTTGCCTAAATGGTAATGTTTTGGATTGCTTCCTGAAAAAAATAGGGCTTGAAGCTGTTGATGTAAGGCATATGTTGCATAATAAGGAGGAATGTGTTTTAATTCAGATTTGATGTAGTGAGCAATTTTTCTGTATTCACAAGTTCCATACTTAACAAAAATGAACCTACTTGAAAACTATTTCAAAGCAATAATTCATTAATTTCCTTTGCAAATTTTGAGAAGGTCATGTTCAAACATCAAACATAATAATCCATAACAATCCATCAAACACAATAATCCATTGATGATTATCAAACATAATCATCCATTCATGATTTTAAAAACTCTCAGAAAAATTGTAGTGGGAGAACTTGATAAACTTGTATCTGTAAAACTTGAGAAAGAGCATCTACAAAAATCCTATAGCTAAGATTATTCTTAATGGTGAAAAACTGAATAATTTTCTTCCTAAGATCAGGAACAGGACAAGAATGTCCACTCTTGCCATTTTTATTCAATATAATACCAAAGTTCTAGCCAGTGCAGTAAGGCATAAAAAAGAAATAAAAGACATACAGATCAGAAAGAAAGAAAACTGTCCCAGTTTCCAGATAACATGACTGTTTACATGGAAGATCCCAAGGAATCTATTTAAACTTCTCCCCTCCCCCCAAAAAAACATCTAGAACTAATGAGTGAGTTCAGCAAGGTCACAGGGTACAACAAAATAAACACACAAAATCAATTGAACTTCTGTATACTAGCAATGACCATATGTACACAAAAATTAAAAATACAGAACCATTTATAATTGCTCAAAAAAACCCTTTAGGTTTAAATCTGACAAAGGTCTTATAACTCTAAAAACTACATACAGCTTTTCAACCATTGCTATTGGAGTGGTTGCACATCCATAGTCCAAACAATGTCTCCTGACCTGTCTCAAACTTTATGCAAAAGTTTATTCAAAACAAATCACAGACTGAATGGAATAAGTAAACTATAAAACTTTTGGGAAAAAGAAATCTTTGGCATCTAGGATTATAGTTCTTAGAACTGATACCAAAAGTACAATCCATAAAAAGATAAGTTGGACTTTATCAAAATTTAAAGCTTTTGTTCTGCAAGAAACCCCTGTGGGAGGAAGAAAAGATAGGCTACAGAATGGGAAAAAATATTTGCAGACCGCATGTCTGACAGAGAGCTAGTACTTGTATATATAGAGATTTCTCAACGCAAAGTATTAAAAAAAAATCCAACTAGTCCAATTAGAAGATGGGCAAAAGATACGAAGAGATATGTACACATGGCAAGTAAGCATATAAAAAGATGTTCAGCATCATTAGTTTTTACCAAAATTGCCATTTAAAACTACAGTGAACTATCATTACACACCTGACAGAATGACTAAAATGAAAAATTAGTGACAACACCAAATGCTGGAGAGGATGTTGCTGGAGGGTGTATAAAAACTGTTTGGAGTTTCTTAAAAAACAAAACATGCCAACTATCATTTAGCAGTTGTATTCCTGGATATTTATCCCAGAGAAGTGAAAACGTATGTTTGTGCAGAAACCTATACGTAATGTTTATAGCAGCTTTATTTGTAAAAGCCTAAACTGGAAACAGCCCAGGTCTCCTTCAGCAGATGAAAGGTTAAACTGTATATCCATACAATATAATACTACTGGGTAACAAAAGGAACAAAGTCTTGATATACAGTAACCTGGATAAATCTCCAGAAAATGATGCTGAGTGGAAAGTAAAATCTCAAAGGTTATATAGTGTATGATTCCATTTATGTAACGTTCTTGAAATGACAAAGATACAGCAAAATTAGTAGTTGTCGGGGTTTAGGAGGGGTGGAAGTGGGAGGAAAGTTGGTGAAACTATAAAAGGGGAACATGAGGCATCCTTGTGATGGAAATAGTCTGTATCTTGACCATATCAGTGTCAATATGCTGGTTGTGATGTTGTACTACGGTTTTGGAAGAGTTAGCATTGGGAAAACTGGGTTAAGGGTACACTGAATCTTTTGGTATTATTTCTGACAGTTGCATGTGAATCTCTGACTATCTCACACAAACTAAAACTTAATTGAAAATTAATGTAAGTGAATTACTTTTCCCCTTACTAGCTAGGGACTCATTTGCCGTTTTACCTAGCTTGTTGGCATTTGTATATATTGCTGGGTATATAAAATTTGAACTGAGATCACTCTGTTTCTGTGACTGTTTTCATTCTTTGTAAGTTGTTGAAAATTGAGGATCTTCAATGTATCCTTTAATTTTGGTGTAGATTTCTTTCCCTGTACTTTTTTACATGAATACTTATGCTCAAACTATTCAAAAACATGGTTTTAGAAATGTAAAATTGGTTTTGTTAGCCATAATATAGTTAACTTATTCCTTTATGTTTATAATTTCTTTTCAGGATTAATAATAGCAGCTGTGACATGACAGTGATTTTTTTTTTTAATAATTTGTTAATTATGTTATGTAAAATGTAATACTGGTGAGGAGCCAGTAATGTTGCACAGATTATCGTAGTCCTGAAAAACCACAAATAAATCCAATGAATGAGTGAGAAAAGTGACACTGTTGTTGGCACTCTGAAATTCTGCAGGGACTTACATTGTGGCTAAAATCAACCCTACCTTCTTGCTGTGTTCAAGAGGCTTTTCACTGATTTCTGTTGACAGGAAAAGCCTTTTTTTTTTTTTTTAACTTATAAAAGAAAAAGAAAAAAAGCAGTACCCTCCAGGCCCTGTGTATTATTAAGATCTTTTAGTAGCGAGTTGCTCTTTCTCTGGGAAATCGGCTGTTAAAGTCAGAGGGAGCTCTTAATAGTTTGCATGGTATTTGATTAAATGGAACAGTTGGATCAGTACAGATTCCAGATTTAATAGAGCAGATACTCACTTCTATACATCCCCTATGATTAGCATAGTTATATCTTCTATATTATAGAAATATAATTTTAGGATATACTCTTGTACATTATAAAATAAGCATGTTAGAGAAAACCTGATAAATTGAACTTTTGCAGAGAAAGACTTAAAAGCATATGACTAAAATATAACTTCTACATAAAACAATATGTGTCCAGCATTGTGGGATAGTTTATAGTTCTGAGGTGATCTATTAAACCATGATACTGGAAGAAATGACAATGATAGACACTGACATAGGAGCATTATTTGTGTGTCAGGCTTTGTTTAAAGCACTTTTTATGTATGAACTCATTTTATCATTACTGTGAGGTAGGGACTATACTATGATTTCCTGCTGATTGACAGGAAACTGAAGCATGGAGAGGTCAAGTAGTCTCTCAAACCAAAGAACACGTAAGTGAGAGAGGAGGGGCTCTGGCTCCATAGTCCTTGGTCTTAACCACTATTTTGTATTGACTTCCATAGAGAAAATAGCCCACATTATAGCTATGATAAAATGCAAAATTTCACTTTATAGGTAATAGCCTGGAATCGGTGAGCTGGAGTCATTAAGGCAGTTCGGCAAAAACAAAAAACATGGGGGCAAGTGTGGGTAGGAAAGTGCTAGCTGCCTGAGTACAAAGCATTGGGTATTAATAAACATGCTGTGTGCGGCATAGCAGGAAGCAGCTGTTTGGAGTTGAAGGTTTGTTTGGGAGAGCAGTAGAAAAGATGGGTTTGATTAGTTATAGAAAGAATTTTGAATGGAAAAGTGTGGACTTGGGAACACATTTTCTAGGTTGCTGTTGAGAGGAACAACAGTGGTACATTAAATATGGACTTTTAGAACTAGAGGAAATTATAAAAGTTATTATTGGATCTGTGCTCTTCAGTGTTTCTGTGTCTACCCTGTTTTGTGTTTTAGGTTTTGACCTTTTGCTCCAGCTTGTCCAGGGACAGAGTGGTGTAGTGAAACAAAAGCAGTAAACCAAGTATCACAAAGCTTGGACTTTAGTACCAGCTTTTGCACTTTCCTCACTGTAAAGATGTTGTATGGGTTACTTAACCAGTTGGGGTTTAATTTCCTTGGCTGTATAGTGGACTTAGTGTCACATGCCTACCTCAGGATTTCTGTGACAATTAAATATGATATTTTAAGGCTTCTAACTTACTGGATCTAAATAAATTATTCCTGGAAAAAAAAAGTTTGCTGTGTAATAAAGCACCTAAACAGGAATGAAAAAGCAGGTATAGAACTTCAGGTGTTTTGTCACCCTCCCTCCCCCAGTGGTGTGTGTAGGAAAACTTTGCTTCTTTCTGTAAATCTGATGTCTAATCTCTTCTGACTTTACGTTCAATCAGTTGATTATTTTCATTCAGCAGATGTGATCGGTTTGCAGGGTTCTCAGTCAAGTAGGATAGAGAAAACATGAAGATACACAACTAAATAAAATGCTATATATAAAATGATGTTTTATGCAATAATTATAGCTATGCTATGTTAATTCAGCAATTATTGCTGCTTTGGGGAAATGAGAAGGCTTTGAGGAGGAGGTAGTATTTCAAAATGATGAGGTTTGAAAGAAGTATATGATGAAATGCAGAAACGAAGAGGTAGCGTATTTGTTTCAGGAGAAGGGAATAGAATGAATAAAAGCATAGAGAAAGAAAAGCATATGATGGGCTGGGCCCGTGGCTCACGCCTGTAATCCCAGCACTTTGGGAGGCCGAAGTGGGCAGATCATGAGGTCAGGAGTTCGAGACCAGCCTGAGCAACATGGTGAAGCCCTGAGTCTACCAAAAATACAAACAAATTAGCTGGGCATGGTGGTGCATGCTTGTAATCCCAGCTACTCAGGAGGCTGAGGCAGGAGAATTGCTTGAAGGGAGGCGGAAGTTGCAGTGAGCCTAGATTGCGCCACTGCACTCCAGCCTGGGTGACAGAGCGAGACTCTTATCTCGAAAAGAAAAGAAAAGAAAAGAAAAGAAAAGAAAAGAAAAGAAAAGAAAAGAAAAGAAAAGCATGTGATGAAAAAAATTGATATTTTTCTAAGAAATTAAATGTGCCGTATCAGGAAATAGATCAATAAGGTGAAATGAGACCAGATTACCGAGGGCTTTGAGTAGTATGCTAAGGAATTTTGGATTCTGCATGTTGTTAATGTCATGGTCAGCAGTCCTGTTGATTTTCGTCAGGTATTACCTAATAGCAGTTATAGTCTTACAAAGATCTTTTAGAGTCTTGTAAAATTTTGTGTTGGAAATTATACTTCAAGAATGAATTCGTGTCCTCTCTCCTCTGAAATGTAGACTAAAAAAAAAAAAGAATGAACTTGTGTTATAGTGATCAAGTAGGTCTTGTTATTCGTATTCTAATTAGTATATATTTTTAAAAATAAGAAAGGTGTTTCTTTTTGGTTTTCTTTTGGTTATCCAATAATATTGCTTTCTACTGACCACTTTGTAGGTGAGTAAAGATTTTGTGGTCTTTCAAACCTTGATTAAATAAATCCTGATTTTTACTAGTTACGAATTTTTATCAAATGAGGCGCTTTGAGAATAAAGATGTTTGTTAAAATTTCTTGGTGTACATCTTGGATATAATATATGTGGTTTGCTGTCTGTTGCTGTATGAAACAAACATTTTAGATGCCTGGATTTTCTTAGAATGTCTATGATTCATTAACACAGACACTTCCTGTGAATATATTTCTAAATGTATTCTTTTGAAACCCAAACACTGGATCCTTGTGAAAAATTCCACCACCATGCACAATACTATTTCCAACAGGCATAGGTCATAAATATTTGGTAGTGATTGTCAAATAAGCCATAACCTATATTGAAACTTTAATAGAAATGACTTTTGGTTCTCTTGTAAAACTGAGAATGCCAATTCAAGTGATAAATAGTTAATGGTTTTTAGATATGTGATTTAAATCAAAATAATGGCTTTTATTGATTTTTTAAAATTTATTTTAGTGGGGTGAATATTTGACATCAGAAAAGTAGTTCAAACCTGCAACTTAGAGATCTGGTATAATTGACATCTCCGTAGACTGTTCACATTCTAGGTTGGATAAATGATTTATTGTTACCTTACTGGCATTTTGAGGATTTGCCACAAAATTTTTTCTTAAGCTATGTTTCTTTGAACAAGCCTAAAGTTTTTTTATTCTTATTGTTTCCTGGAAAACTTCATTTCAGTGACAGATTTGATTCAAAGTGAGACATTGTCTAGTTGCCACTTAGCTAAACACATCCCTCTCTTCATTGTTGTACAAACTCCACATTTCTTGAAAGTATAGTCTCCATTTATGCACTTAAAAAAACTTTATTTTGGATACTATATATGTTGTGTAACTGCTAGTTTACTTCTGCTTTCATTTAATATTGTAATAGAATATCATCCACTGAATTTACTGTAGATTGATTGTAACTATCCTAAAGTTTAAGGTTTAACTAAAGATTGTGGCAAATTTACCAGAGGGTTTCTGCCTTTCTGAAGTAGCCTTCTTCATTGTGTTCTCTGTAGCTAATGAATAGTACATTTGTTGAAACCTCATGTTTGTTTAAAATCAGTTCATTGGATTCACCACTGAAACAGTGGCACAGTGAGGATAGATTGTAGGTGGTAATCCTTCTTAAATGAGGCTTAAGGGAGGTTGGCATGGTGGTTTGTAAACTGTATTTGGAGCTTTGCTGGCTTCCACTAAGTGTAATGTACAAACCTCAGAATTTCATTGTAACCTGATTATCTCAAAGACAGTCATCTATTTGTCAGGGAAGCCACTATCTATATATACACACATTTTTTTAAAATCTCATTTTACACACACACACACACACACACATACACACACACACACACCATTTTTTCTACACAAGAATTTATGACTCAGGGAAATAATCTGATGTTGATTTTTTCCCTGCTTGCCTCTAAAAATGCAGTGCTACCTAATTTCATTGAATTCTATGAAATTTTAAAAATAAACAGATATTGTGAGCATGTTGAAATATTTGTCTTTGAAAAATGACATTTCACCTTAAAGGGGGTTTTGCTTGTGATACAAAGTTGATTTAATGGTCTTAGTATCAAAATACATGTTTGTTTATAGATGCTAAGAATTGTCAGTTTAGGATTTTATAAGGAGATATTCAGAAATTTGATATTTGATATTTTAAAACCAGATGTCATTCTTGGTAATACTAGTCATTTTACTTTGATATGTTTTATAATACTCTTTCATACCTTAACTCAGTTTTACAGATTGACGTTATAAATTTGCCTTTTCAAGTGTAGCTGATGAGTCTGATATTTGAGCATCACTGAACTGAAGAAGTTGCTCATAGGTGATGTTCGAATTGAAAACTGTACTGTTTATTTGGCCACAGCATGGTTTGTGTAAAACTCAAGTTTTGGCACACATACAATCTGCAGAGTAGCTTTAACCACTGTGAATTTATTTCCCAGTATTTTAGACTCAGGTAAGGAGTTGTTATAAACTGCTGTCAGTTCTGGACTCCCGTTGTTTTCAAATTTCTCTCTGATCCTTTTAAAATGTGGCTTTGGTACATTTAAATCAGCTTTTCTCGAAGCAATTTTTGGTCATTTTTTTTTCAAATTTGTAAACTCTTAAGAAATACATGCAAAAATACATTCATTCTTTCTTTTGATTAACATTCACTGCCTGTCTGCTGTGTGGTTACTAAAACAGTCTTTCACCTCAAGTAGCTTAAAATCTCAAGAGGGGAGATAAGCTGCATACCTTTGTGTAGCACATGAAGAGCAGTGTGTTAGCAGGGTGATCAAAGTGCTCTGGAAGTGTCCTGCAGGAACTTCAGGTGGGAGGTGGGAGGGCGTCCTTGAATTGTGGCTAGGATTTTGGGGTGGGGAGAGTAAACATGTAATATATGTTAGAGTCCATTAGTTTCCAAATTGTGTTCTTTGGGTCTCCAAGTTTATCACCCTTCTACTTTTTCACTTGTTTTGTGTTGGTATTGATACAGTGGAGAGTGAGAAATTGACATGTCAGAGAGAAAGAGAGAGTGAGAGAGTAGAATTGCTGGAGCAGTGTTCTTCAGTAAGCTGTAGCAAATGGGAAACAGTACAGAAGTGTAGGGCACTGGCAACAGGTAACAGCAAGGATATATCTTCTCTAGTGTAAGAGAAAAGAGAGAGTATGGAGTACAGAGGCTGATAGGTGTTAGATGTGGAATGTGGCATTTCTCTTTCAGTGGTTTCTGTCATTGAAAAAGGAAGGAAGGTCATCAGTTGAGACCAAAGATAGGAGAAGTGTCAGAGATTTGTGGGGAATGCCTAAGAAAATGGTTAGTTTTGGAGGAGAGTGGCTAAGGGAAGGGCTTAGGGAAGTGTGATTTGATTTCTGCACGATGTCAAGAGCCCACTTGAGTTTTGGTTATTAAAGTAAGACCAGTTTGAATGGGTTTGGGTTTTTTTCTAACCATATTCAACAGCACAGGTTCAGGCATAGATTAGGTTGTGAGTTGGATTTAGATGAGAGAGGGTCAAGGAAGGTGGGGGCATGTGCACAGGAGTGATTACAATGACTGGCAATAGAATTGAAAGGGAGAAGGCATGAGGCAAGTGGAGAATAGTGAAAGGTGGTTGGACCTGTGGAGTTTTCCAGTTCCACAGACTTCACTATGGAAACAGCAGTTTGCAATATGGTTTTAGGTCTCAGCATTGGAAGTTGGAGTATGTTTAAGCAAGCAATCAAAAGAAAATTTTGTTGTGAGATTCTTGTAGTGCTCCAATTTTAAACAAAATCATAGTTTGAAGAAATGTAATCTTAAGGTTTCTCCCATTTTGTTGCAGCTCACAATCATTAGTTAAAACTTTGATTCATGACAGGGCGTGGTGGCTCACGCCTGTAATCCCAGGACTTTGGGAGGCTGAGGTGGGCAGATCACCTAAGGTCAGGAGTTCGAAACCAGCCTGACCAATATGATGAAACCCCGTCTCTACTAAAACTACAGAAAAAATTAGCCGGGCATGGTGGCATGTAACCCCAGCTGCTCCGGAGGCTGAGACAGGAGAACTGCTTAAACCCGGGAGGTGGAGGTTGCGGTGAGCCGAGATCACGCCATTGCACTCCATCCTGGGCAACAAGAGTGAAATGCCGTCTCAAAACAAAACAAAAAAACAAACTTTGATTCACCTTAAAGAAATAATTGAGATGATAGTAAAGAGTGTTATGTATTCCTGTTATGTAACTTGCCAGTACCAGATTCCAGTTGGCTGGCATGCAAAGGAAATTTAGGTTTGGCGATGTCCTGTGTGTTCTTGAACAGAAGATTAAATACTTGAATGATAATTGTTTCTTTTGTAAAACTTGGATTGCCGACTTTTTTTTTTTTAAAGATGATTTATAAAGGATGTGTACAGGTTAGATTTCGAGGGGACTGTTTTCTGTTTAAGAAGTAACTCATTTTGCCGGGTGCGGTGGCTCATGCCTGTACTTTGGGAGGCTGAGGTGGGCGGATCACCAGGTCAGGAGTTTGAGACCAGCCTGACCAACATGGTGAAACCCTGTCTCTACTGAAAATACAAAAATTAGCCTAGCATGGTGGCGTGTACCTATAATCCCAGCTACTCAGGAGGCTGAGGCAGGAGAATTGCTTAAACCTGGGAGGCAGAGGTTGCAGTGAGCTGAGATCATGCCACCGCACTCCAGCCTGGGTGACAGAGCAAGACTGCATTTCAAAAAAAAAAAAAAAAAGAGAGAGAGAAATAACTCATTTTCAAGTTCCTCAGAAATTTCTATCACATATAAACAATGTAATTATATAGTAAGGAAGAACTGTTACAACTTTGACTAGCCATTTAGATTTAATTGATACTTTAGATATCTTACTGTGTATCACTTTAAATAAAAATCTACTGAAACCACTTAATCAAGATTCTACCTTTTTTGTAGACAAGTAGATGCAGTAGTGAGCAGTTAGAATTGCAGGCACTGTGTCTTTTAGTAGTTGAGGAGGGCGGGATCTCGTGTAGATCTGGAGGGACTTAAGAGCATGGATACTTCATCTCTGCCAGAGTTTCTTAATTGTGGCACTACAAGTTAAGTGTCCCCTATTTGAAACGCTTGGGACCAGAAGTGTTTGGGACTTTGGATTTTTTCAGATTTTGGAATATTTGCATATACATAATGATGTGTCTTGGGGATGGAACTCAAGTCAAAACATGAAATTTATTTATGTTTCATATACACCTTATACATACAACCTGAAGTTAATTTTATGCAACATCTTAAATAATTGTATGCATGAAACAGTTTTGACTACTGCAGCCTGTCATAGGAGGTCAAATGTGGAATTTTTCGCTTGTGGTATCATGTTGGCACTCAAAAAGTTTTGGGTTTTGGAGCACTTTGGATTTCAGATTTTTGTATTTGGAATGCTCAACCTGTATTGACATTTGGGCTGGATGTTGTTTGTGGAGCTGTCTGTCCTGTGTATTGTAGGGTGTTCAGCGTCATCTCTGGCCCCTGCCATTGGATGCCAGCAGTACCAAGACAGTGTCGTCGAGCCACAGTGATAAAGGTGAAATCTTTTCACCTTTTCCTTGTAGCTTAATTAATTGCAACAATTTTGAAATGCGAAACACCACAAAGTAAGTCACTTGGATTGTATAGATACTCAAATAAAGGAAATTCACATTTATGAGACGTGACCAGCATCTTACTGGTGTTATTTGTATGTCACTGGAATCTTTTACAGTTCTTTCAGGTAGTTACTTACACTCCTTTTAATAGACATGGTCACAGACTCAGAATATAGCTGATTGTATTTGGGCAAACAACTACTAATTATCTAATGAGGCACTGTCCCATGGAGAATGGCCATATCCATCCATGTAGGGTTGTATGTAAGACTTTGCCCTCATCTCTTTAGTTCTCCTCCCTTCTCTTTTTTTCTTTCTTCTATTCTTTTCTCTTGTAACCTTTAAAAAAAAAAAGGTTATTCACTGCTCAGGTATCTGAATGTCCCCATTATCTGACACCACTTTGAAATACCTTCATAGAGTGTTTATTTTTGGAGACAGTCTTGAATGTCGCCCAGGCTGGAGTGCAGTGGCATGATCATAGCTCGCAGTCCCTATTTTCTCGGTTCACGTGCTTCTCCGGCCTCAGCCTCCCAAGTAGCTGGGACTACAGACTACAAGTGTGCACCACCATGCCTGATAATTTTTTTGATTTTTAGTAGAGATGAGGTGTCACTATGTTGCCCAGGCTGGTCTCAAACTATTGAGCTTAAGTGATCCTCCTGCCCTGGCCTCCAAAAGTTCTGGGGTTATAGACGTGAGCCACCGTGCCTGGCCCAGATTTTATATTGTAACATAAATTAAGGAAGAAAAAGATAATCTCTTGTATTTATTGACACCAAAATATTCCCCTTTAAAAAAATTGTGTACACACACACACACACACACACACACACACACGTAAATCGTCAAATTTTAAATTATTTTGTGGTAAGAAGTTCTTAACTTTGGATTTAATTCATTAAAAAGTATAACCAGAGTTATTCAGTACCTTTCCAGTTTGAATAACTATGCTGCTTTCACTGTTTCCTATTTACTTTTGTTTTATACAGAAGTTATATTTGTGAATATATTTTCAAAATGCAGCTTCAGTGGAGAAAATTAGAATACACTATTCAAAATGGGTAGGGGAAACATGAATTCATGGCACAAATTCATTCTAATACACTTTGATTTGCTAACGGTGTAACTATATAATCTCTAATACATTCTTTATATTCAGAGTGTGCTTAAAAAGATGTTAGATTAATTTCTCATGTCAAACTGTCTTGCAGACTCTAAGCAGTCACAATATTTTAGAAGCGAATGAATATTCAGTTCAATTCAGCAAAAATATTTTGTAATTCCCAATATTTGCTGGATACTGCTTAAGTTGATTAAGACACTGTCCTTTGTCAAGAGGCTAGTGGGAGGAAAATAAAGACAGACCTAATTCTTTACTGTGAGGTGAAGACAAGGCAAGTGGGTTGTAAGAACAGTGCAGAAGTATCACAGGATTAGAGTGTTCATTTTGCTACTAACAAAGATATATTCATGTTCTTCTGTTTGTATGTTGGATACTTTTAACATGAATAGGGAAATTGCTGTTTTTCATTTTAAATGATTATGCATAGCTTTTCATAGTTATGCAGTTGAACTAAGCTCCAAAATTGACTTTAATTTTCAGAATTGTCTGGTACATAGCTTTGCAGTTCAATTCAAAGAAGAGTTTGCTCCGCAAGTCCTTAGGACTCTGGCTCCTCCAAATTATGAAAAAATTGGAATTATTTGCCAAAGAGTACAAACAGATTTCTGCAAATTTTCAATATAAAAAATACTTTTACCAGTCTTTGGTTGAGTATCAGAGAGTACTCTCATAGCTAACCATCATATACATAATACATATCTATGGAACTGATGCTGAAAATTCTGTGACTTCTATTAACAATTGTATCTGGGAGGCTAGGCGTGGTGTAATCTCAGCACTCTTTGGGAGGCTGAGACAGTCAAATTGAGCCCATGGGTTCGAGAGCAGCCTGGGCAACATGGTGAAACCCAGTCTCTACCAAAACAAACAAACAAACAAACAAACAAGCAAACAAAAAAGCGGGGTATTGGGATGTGCACCTATAGTCCCAGCTACCTGAGAGGCTGACAGGGGAGCATCACCTGAGCCCGGGAGATTGAGGCTGCAGTGAGCCGTGATTGTGCCACTGTACACTCCAACCTGGGCAACAGAGTGAGATTCTGTCTTTTAAAAAAAAATTGTTTCTTGGGAATTCCAAAGAAGGAATTGATATTACAGATTTAAGATTGTTGTTACTAAATACTTTTCCTTACACTGACTTTTTTCTGAGTATGACAGTGAACTCTTTTAATGTGTTACCTTTTTCCTCATAGGTCAGATTTACCTTTTTGTATGTTTTTAATAACAGCTATTCAGGTAGATAATCATTAATGAAAGAGGCCTATCTTAAAAACAGTTAAGAATAGTATGATTAGGTACCAAGTAAATAATATCAATGTAAAGTGTAATTTTAAAGTTATATAAATAGCATTATTATTTGAGAAACTTTCATGTGAAATGACTGAGATTTAAGGCAAAGTGATGTTTCTTGGTTTACTTAGGGACAGAGAAAAGTATTTCATTGGGGAGACACAGATGAGTAATGGTCAAGATGGACATAAATTATGTGAAATTTGTTTTTACCTAAGAATATTTCTGAGACAGAGACTCAATGCCTAGCTTTGGAAAGATTTTGAATTGCTGTGATGGTCTTGAGGATTGCTTCTTTACAAGTGGTATTCTGATTTCTTTTGTATAAAGTTTAGACACAGACAAAACTAACTTACGATAATAGAAGTCAGGATCATGTATACGCTTACTGTGGAGTAGTGCCTGGGGAGGGGTCATGAGGGAGGTGACTTAGCGTTCTAGGAAGTTGATTTTGTTTCAAGATTTCGGTGTTGGTGAGTGGGGGAGGGGGGTACTCATTACACAGGTGTGTTCACTTTGTGAAAATTAATTGAACTGTACCCTTAACATACCTGTACTTTTTTGTATGTGTGTTTTTGGATACTTAGATAAAAATTTACCCAATTAACAAAAATGCAATAGAAGCTAATTTAACCAAGTTATTGCAGTATTTAAGAATTTGAGGATGAGGGAGTGTATATGGAATGGCTATCTTATACTCCAGGCACATAAACAAATTCAAGAAATTTACCTTTTTTTTTTTTTTTTTTTTTGGCTGAGTTCTCGATTCTGCATATGTACCACAGGTCAGAGCCATTGAGTTAACTGGTTGCCTCCCCTTCCTCCCCCTTGCTTTTTCTCAATTCCTTCATGTCTTTGTTTCATCTGTTTTCTATTTTCCTGGCCCACTGGCTTCTTTCTCTTGATCCATACCATTTTGGTCCTTCAGCTGAATTTTTTTCTTTGCCTTTGCTCCTTAAGGCTCTATCATGTTTCCATTTGGTTTTCAAAATTCTCCAGAGATAACTTTTGTTGTTGCCTCTGCTTATCCTCAACCCTTGGCAATCTCACTTTTTTCCTTGCTAACCTACTGAGACTACAGTCAAAGGCCCTGTCCAAGGCCAGTTCTTAGCCTTCATCAAATTCAGCTTACATTCTTCATATCCTCTTGTTGTTCACCCTTTTTCTTTGCTACTCTTCTGTTTCTCTGCCTTTTACTGTTCTTTTTTGATGATGATGATGATGATGATGATGGGAGCTTATATTTATTGAGCCTTAGTGTAAGTCAGACACTGTTATATGTACTTTACATGTGAGCCTTAGTTTCTATAATGTTTTACATGTGGGTTACATGAAGACAAAATGACTTAATTCAACAACAGTATAAAGGATGGTCTGCTATTATCCCTGTTCTACATGTGAAAAAACCAAAGCACGAGAAGCTTAAGGAACTTGTCCAAGTTCACACAGGTTAAGTGGTAGATCTGGGATTCCTTTCCAGGTAGTCTAGCTTTCTTTCTGTTACACAGGTAGTGAGTCCTTATCCAGTTTTATTCCTGATCCACTTTTTTTCTCCTCTCACTCCACTTGATTTTTCAGTGGTCTCTTCCACTCCCATAGCTTCCCTGGTTGCCTGTCTGGGATCGAGACTTTTGATACCATCTCTAGCCAGACTGTTTTCTTGAGCTCCATTCTGATATTTTCGATATTATGTTGGACTCTTCCATATGAATTTTTCACCATCTCATATTTGACATGATTTTGTTAATCATCTGCATTTATTAATGACCCTCCTATTATTATTATGCATTACTGTGTTTCCTGTCAAGGTTTAACGGCATCATTTCTCAGTTATTTACCCATGTTTGAATTCCTCCTTCTTTCTTCACTTGTAACTGTAGTTACTTAAAGTTCTGCCAGTTCTCCTTCTCTAATGTTTAGTATGCTGCTCTGTTTCCTTCTCATACCTGCTTTTCTGGGTCCTCATCAAGGACGTCCTGACTTGTCTCCTTGTTTTTAGCCTTTTCTGTCTCTAATCTGCATCTTTCAGGTAACCTGAAGAGTTAATGTTTCTTAAAAGTTAAGGTCTCAATATTCCTGGGTTCAGAAACTGAACTCCATTTTATTTAGAAAAGTAGAAACTTCTCAGCATGCCGTTTAAATTTTTCTCTTTGTTGCATATTCAGATACTTCAGTGTCTTAGTTTTTGTTGTTACCTCTACCTACAATATTCTTTTTTCGTCAGAATTAAGCTTTTTAAGAATGTTTTTAGGGTCAGGGAAGGGGGTGTGGGTATGTTTCCCCTGTGGAGTGATTATACCTTTATAAAAACCTCACATAATAGGGGACTCAGGAAATATTTGTTAATATGTATTGAAATTATTTCAAATGGAATTTAGTCATGACCCAAATCTTGCTTGAGATAAATCTTAACACTTTTGGCGGGAAGGTGCTGGTTTTCTTGGGGTAAATTATATAAACTCTATGGAGTCTTAATACTCTTTTTTTTCTTAAATTATTTTTTGGCAGAGACAGCAGCTAACATCTTTGTGTGTGAATATATTTATGTATTTTCTTTTCTTTTTTTGGAGACAAGATCTCATTCTGTTGCTCAGGCTGGAGTGCAGTGGTGTGATCATGGTTTACTGCAGTCTCTAACTCCTGGGCTCAAGTGATCCTCCTGCCTCAGCCATCTGAGACTGCAGGCTCGCATCGCTGCTCCCGCCTAATTTTTAGTTTTCTATAGAGATCAGGTCCCACTGTGCTATGTTGCCCAGGCTGGTCTCCAACTCCTGGGCTTAAGTGATCTTCCCTCTGTGGTGGCCTCCCAAAATGTTGGGATAACAGGCGTGAACCACTGTGCCTGGCTGGGTTTTCATACATGCAAGTTTACACATGTATTTTATCTTACATGATAGACTGACATTCACTTAGACAACTCTAGAAGCTAAATTTGTAATCTGTTCAGATAGGTGTTGGCAGCTAGTAACAACTATCCCATAGAGTTATCCCATAGGCATCAATATTTTAACCAAAATCTGGATTGGAGAAACTTAGTCATTATGGGGCCTATCTGTTAGCAAAATCGAATAGTCAGATATGCTTTGACCTTAGGTTCCTTTAGCCAAACCTTTTTTGTTTTTCCCAGTAAAAAAAAAAAAACAAAACAAAAACGAGTTTGTAAATATTGTATCTAATTCTTTTTAGATGTAGCTCTAGCTTTTACATAGAAAATGGATAGTTTTGATCATTTAAATGAATCAGTGTCTCTCTACCTATTACTCTTTCAGGTGTTTGTGTCTTAGAATTATCATTTACCCTTGGGCAGTTAAATTGAATTTCTTTTAATTTGTTCATTTTATCTATCCAAAAGAAACCTTGCATCTTATGTGACGGCTTCTAATTTCTACAGTTGTGACTGGTACTTTCTCTGCTTAGTCACTAAGAAACCTTCGTCTCTTTCGGTTACTGCCTTTTAAAATGTGTAGTACTTCTGTTAACTTTTGCCTGAAAATTTGGGGTTAAGTTTTTGAGTTTTTATTTTTATTGATTGATAGACACAGGGTCTTGCTCTGTAACCCAGACTAGAGTGCAGTGGCATGATCATAGCTCATTGCAGCCTTGGACTCTTGGATTCAAACAGTCCTCCTGCCTCAGCCTCCCAAGTAGTTGGGACTACAGTGCTATCACACTGGGCTAATTTTTACTTTTTTGTAGGGATGGGCATCTTGTTATGTTGCCCAGGCTGGTCTCAAACTCCTGGCCTCAAGGTGTCCTCTCGCCTTGGCCTCCCAAAGCTCAGATTTAACATACATGTTTGCACTGGGTTATCCTGGCTTTTCCATTCTTCTGTTTCTCCTTTATGGTGTAATATGAGAATATTTACCCAGTCGACCTTTCATGTGGATAGTCCTTTGTGCTCCTGATTCCTTATAAATTAAGGCAACTTATGTGAATTTCTCGTTTTGTTATCCAGCAAATGCATGCTCTGTAAGGCAGTTGAGGAAAGGAATTGCAGTATGTTAAACATCTCGGATTGAAATGCTTTTACCACTGTTGCAAGGAAAGGAGACAAGTTTAATAGAACTATAAAACAAAAATGTATAATTATTTTTCATTATAACACATTTTTCTTATGCTATAAAGTGCCCGTTTTATTGATTTATATACTGTCATCTTAAAATAAGACAGTCCTGTGCCTTATTAAAATACAGTAAGTCCTATCTATGTCCTTACCTTTGTCTCTGGATCACTGCAACATAGTTTCTTGAGTTTGTCTCTGTCTGTAATGGTTTTATATATATTGATACATGTGATAGTTTCATTTGAAGAAAACCTACAGTGCCATACCTGGTCAAGTTATATTTAGCCATTGAAGTTTTTATTTTAAAGTAGTAATGTCATTTTTTAAACATGAGAAAGGAGTTTTTGATTGAAAATATTTTATTCTTAAACCTATACTTTATGTCTTTTTTCCATGAGTGATAGTTTTTTTAGATTGATGATATAGAATCACCAATTTGGCAGACTTTTTTTTTTTTTTTCCTGAGTTGTTCTAGTGTGCCATGCACTTGTATCCTAAAATAAGCAAGGTGTATTTTCTGATCTGTTATTTCACAGTATGTAATGTCTTCTGTGACACATCTTAGCTCCTGGACTGGGAGTGACAACTTTTATCTGTTGTATAGCACGGAATAGTACTTGTTTTTTTTTTTTTTTTTTGTCTTAAATGGGTTGGAAGGGAACATAATGCTACAGTGTGGGAGTGCTTATTCCTTGCAAGACACTGTGGCAGGAAGGATGGAAACTAATCTGTATTGAGGACTTTGCTTGTACCAACCAGGTTATGAGGTTATTTTCATATATATAATCTCGATTATTCTTCACCGTAATGCTATGAAATATGCAATTTTCTGAGTCTGTCGCGATTCCCACAAATTGACAGATAAGTCATGCAGATGCAAAGTGAAAGCGTAAGGTCACTCATTTTTAAGTGGCAAAGAAGCTAGAACTGTAGGACTTTTTGCCTTCAACACTTTTCACTATGCTGTGTTGCCTGGAGGTACATGCTGTTAGCATTCCCGATGAAGTAACTAATGTGGAATAGAAAGAGACTTAAACTGTATAAAATATACTTGCATTTTCTGTAACCATTTACGGAAAACAGGAAGTTTCTCATTTCTAGAGAGTGAAACCTGGAAGAGGCAGTCCTTTCAGATAGTCTGAGATATATGGCCAAAAAAATATCTGCGGCAGTGACATAGCAGGCTACCTGGAACAATGCAGTGGCAGTTTGACGTGACCTTTCTCAGTATAGCTAGCTGGGGTGAATCATATGCTAGTGTTCTCATCTGGTTGAATTTTTTACATCCGGAAATGTGATTCTTTCATTTTATAAAAGAACTCTTGGGTTCTTTTTTAGAGTCATTGATTAGAAGTAAGCAGTTATGTAGAATTTTAACTTATATGAAATAGGAGTGTGTTACATAGGGTGTGTGTTAGGGGATTATATACCTAAGTGGATCTTCATTGAGTTGTTTGAACCAGAATGATGAGCTGCAGTTTTAGGTCACTGGGCTCTCCCTGTAGTTTTATCTTATTCAATACTTGCTGATTAGAAGCAATAACAAAAGTCTTAGATAATGAGAAAGAAGTCATTTATAAAATCTTCATGAAGTTGATTAAAAAAGCTGAGAGGGACAGCGAGTATTTATGGTAGACCCAAATTTCCCAAAGATTATCATTAGTCTGTGTATGTCAGAAACTGGGCAGAATTTAATACGAATACATGTGAAGTCCTGCATTGAGGTTTTTAAAAAAATTGGTTGGTAGATATTGAAGGGGGAAATAGGGCTTCTCAGTACTGTGAGTGGAAAAGAGCTGGATGTTTTGGTATGTGACTAATAAAGCTAACATGGTATCGAGGCTATGTTACAGAAGGATTGTACCCAGATCAGGAAAATTAATGGTTTCAGTTGCCTTTATCTTCATCAGAGATATCTGGAGTGTTGTGCTCATTTTAGAAAGCTTTGTTTTAAGAAGGACTTAAAAAACTGGAGCCATTGCAAGAGGAAGGTGGTTGGGATGGGGCTAAATCAGAGGATTCTGTAAATGAGGAATGGTTAAAGCAACTGGATTTGTTTAGCCTAGAGAGGAAAAAAAGTGTTGGATTTTTGGAGACCTATAAAATAGTTTCCACTGTAGGCAGAAATTTATTTCATGTTATTCCATAAGAAGAAGATGTAAGTTGTAGGTGAAGTATTTAACTCCATATAAAGATTTTGAGCTGGCTGCATAAATCCATTGCCTTCCCAGGTAGGGAGCCCCTATCTTTGCAGCTGAAAGAAATCTCTGTGATGAAAAAGCCATGTGGCTGTTCCAGGCATCACTTTCCAGTGGGCAGATTTCTGTTTGTTTGATACTCCCTTGACAAACGTTAGGCCAGCAGTTTTCAAAGTATGGTCTGCAACCATCAAGGGAGTAGGGTTGTGGGGTGGGTCTTTTCGACCGTTTCGGGAGATCCCACAAGTCAAAAAAACTATTTTTATAAAATATGAAGACATTATTTGCCTTTTTCAACTTTGTTGACATTTGTACTGATGATGCAAAAGCAATTAGGGATAAAACTGCTGGTGGTGCCTTAGCACGAATCAAGGCAGTAACAGCAAACAACTCTGGTAGTTGTATTCTTCAGAAGACAAAACCTTAGATTTTCCTTAAGAATGTCTGTGATGAAAGAGTAAAAATTTGTCAGGTGCTGCAGCTCATGCCCTGTAATCCCAGCACTCTGGGAGGCTGAGGCGTGTGGATCAGTTGAGGTCAGGAGTTCGAGACCATCCTGGCTAACATGCTGAAACCCCATCTGTAATAAAAATACAAAAATTAGCCAGGCATGGTGGCGGGCACCTGTAATCCCAGCTACTCAGGAGGCTTAGGCCCAAGAATTACCTGAACCTGGGACGTGGAGGTTGCAGTGAGCCAAGATCGCACCACTGTACCCTAGCCTGGGCAACAGAGTGACTCTTAAAAAAAAAAAAAAAACAAAAAAAAAAGTAAAAATGATTACTTGTGTGAAATTTTGACCCTTTAATACATGTCTTTTTAATGTTCTATGAGAGAAAATGGCAGGTATACATGAATCACTTCCCTTGTGTCAAGGGAAAGCTTTCGTGCAATTATTTGAGTTTTGCATTGACCAGCTACTTCTTAAGATGGAGCATCATACTTGAGAGAATGACTGATAAACTATGATCAATCAGATTTAGGCATTTGGTAGGTATTTTCTCCAAAATGAATGGTAAGTTTTTCAAGGAAAACTGACAGTATCTGTTGCTTGTGATAAAATTTGTGATTTCATACAAAAATGAGAGTTTTGGGAAACTTGGCCACTGTGAGCTGATAACTTCTCAGTACTTAAAGATCTTTCTGCTGAGATTATTGGTGGCATTAATAATTGTTATTTTTTGATAGAGTTTGGTAAAATGTGTCAACATACAGAATCTGTGCATAACTCAGTTAACCAGTATTTTCCAAATGACCAATGCTTGATAATCAAAGTGTATGATAGATTGTTGGGTTTTAATGTGACAGAATATAGAAGTTCATTGATACGATTTTTTGTTTGTTTATTTATGAGGCGGGGTCTCACTCTGCTGCTCAGACAGGAGTGCAGTGGCGTGATCGTAGCCCACCGCAGCTTTGAACTACTGGGCTCAAGCAATCCTTCCACCTTAGCCTCCCAAGTAGCTGGGAGCACAGGTGGCATGCCACACGCCCTGGTGATTTTTGTTAAAAAAGATTTTTGTAGAGATGGAGTCGCCTTATGTTGCCCAGGCTGGTCTTGAACTTCTGGCCTTTAAGTGATCCTCCTGCCTTGGATTCCCAAAGCACTGAAATTACAAGCACTGGCCAACACACCTGGCTTGATAGTTTTAGGTTCTGTACTTCAACTAACCTTTTAGCAAATACCATTTGTTTAGTTTTGGTATAGTGTTAGAGAAAGGTATCTGCAATTAACTGAAAAGGTTATTAATGTGCACCTCCCTTCTCCAACTACATACTTATGTGATGCCAGATTTTCTTTGTATACTTCAACCAAAACAACGTATTGTTATATATTGAACATAAAAGTAGATATGACAATATGATTGTCTTCTGTTAAGGCAGATGTAAAAGAGATTTGCGAAAATGAAAATCAGTGTACCTCTTCTCACTAAATTTATGTATGTTATATTAGTTATATTTCCAGAAATCATTTGATGATTACAGAAGCTTATTTAGCAAAAAATTTAATATGAAAATGTACATGACCTGATTTTTGCCTCACAGTAAAACAGATCACTTGGAGAGGGAACATGGATTTTTCTGCTGAGCAGCCATTATTTATCCTCATTCCTAGACTTCTAATATGATGTTACTGTTTGCCTGTATTACCACCATTCCAGTACTGTTGTGTTGTCCACTAGTTGCCATCTCCACACATACATCACAAAATTCCTAAATGGATCAAATCCTCACAATATTCCTTGGACATATCTGCCATCATTTAGTCTCAGTAACTTCCTGTCTGTAATTTTTTGGACTTGAGACGACGAGCTTTGCTCATAATGTCTACTCCGTGGGCTCAGAGCTCTCTTGAAACAGAATTTGTGGCCTCCTTCACACCCCTGCAGTAGGCCTGGTGCTTTGCCTTCCTGAAAATGTTATGTTGCTGTGTAATGGGCTTATTACTGTGTTTAAATGAATTAATAAGTAGATATTAAATTTTTAATTAGTTTTAATTTCCAATATAATAAATACTGGTAAGTAAACCCATGTGAACAAAAACTTTTTGGAGTCCTCTATAATTTTTAAGAGTTATAAAGGGATCCCAAAACCAAGGAGTTTGAGACCACTTCTTTAGGCTAGCATCTTCAACTTTGTAGTTTCATCCATTTGCCCTGGTTTGATCCCACTCTGGGGACCTGAACCAGTTATCATATTCAGAAAGAAGTTGATTTGTATCCACAATGCTTGTTAATGGACAGTGGGGTGGTTATATTTTTTCATTGATTAGAATACTCATTACTTTCTAATACCTCTTTTTCATGGTGTCTTGGTACCTGAGAAGCTAAGCTAGGAGTCAGAAAGTTGCTAGGTGAACACAGGATCAGAGGAATCAGCTCTATCTCCGGAAGCTTTTACTCAGGTTATAAGAAGGCCTGTTAGTGTATTCACAGTAGTGAATTTCTGTGATACCTCTCTCTATTATCTAGTGTTGTGTTTGACAGTTAATAGCTTCTCGTCACCTTGTACCTCTTGTACCTTTTTTTTTTTTTTGCCAGAAAAATGTTTATTAAGCACAAGACACTATTCGTGGAGTTAAATAAAAGGCATGTTACTTCTATTTAATGCTCTTCTCTGTTTGTTCTCATTATTAATTTAATTCTTTGTAACATATAGGGTTTATAAATAAAAATTTCTTTTTTTTGAACTTTGAAAGGTATATTCATGTGACTCTTTGTTTCATACTTCTGGTAGTCTATAGTACACAAGATTAGATTGGTTCAGTAGGTGATGGTGATAGGATTGACACATGTGGCTTAGCTATCTATGAAAATAAAGTGTTTAGGAAAATTGCATGTGGCGAATCACTATAAAGTGTTAAAATGATTTTTATTTTTTTTAAAGCTAGCATTTTATCTTCAATATTTCAAATGTGAAAAGTGCTGTCTAGAAAATGTCATTCCTTTGAATAAACATCATTAAATAAACTTGTTTGTTGATTCATATAGATTTGTATTAAATATAGTCCATCAATTCTAGGCACAAAAGGCCATGTTATAGCTATTAGCATGATCAATACATGTCAAAAGGAAATGTTAGCAATTAAGCAATAATGAAAAAGTCAAGAAAATAAAAATCTAGGTGAAGAAAGACTACACTGGAATATCTGCATGGCAGTAGCAGTCTTTCTTAGGGTAGCTAAACTTAAATGGCTACCATTGGAGAATTATAGTTAGGTCTCTCCACAGCACTCATGTCCTAATGGAGTATAGTACACAGAATATGATGAATTGATTTTTTTTTGACACCTCAAAGTGATCTCCACATAAAATAAATACTTGTAAGTGATGGCCCTTACTGAACGAACAAGATATTTTTAAAGTATAAATATTGTGGGGAAACGTTAAACCTCCAAATCTGTAAGTCAACATAGCTCTAAAGAGGAAAAATTAATGTTACACAGTATCTACTGGCCTGTCAATTGTTACATTTTTAAAAATAGAGCATTGTATACTTAATAGACTGGCATCAAATCTTTTGTACCCTGTATTTTTTGATCAAACAGTTGTTTAAACTGCTTGTATTCGAGGGATGCTTTTCATTTGTAAACATAATATTAATCTTGCCAACAATTCCATACCCTAGTATCTTTTTATTGTAACAATAAAATATATTCTTCTCTATAAAACATTTATGCTCTTTGAAGAGTTTCTTTTCTGCCTGAGGTTTCTTTTTAATCAATTTGTCTATCTCTTTATCTTTACAAACTCATCTTTAATCTTTTGTTTCTTTAAAACAGTCTGGTTTTTAAAGATTTTAGTTTTGAACATCGAATTTTGTGATATAAATTTATGGGGTCATGTATGAAGAATTTTGTCTTCATACTTGAAGTCAAAGGATGAAAAATTTGATCCCTAAAGAGTTCTTTTCACAATTTTTAAATTTCAATAAAATAAAGAATGGTAGGACTGTGATTGAAAAATGTGATACTAAATTTTTCTATTGAATGATGCATATTTATTTTTAAAATCCTTCTCTGTACTTATTCATTCAACAAATATTTATTAAGTGCTCAGTTTGTGCCAGCCACTATAGTAAGCACTGTGGAGTAAAAACAAACTTGGTCTGTGCAATCTTTGGATTTAGGTTATTGGCAGGGTAGGAGGCAGGTATTAATAAAATAACACAAAACTGCAGTGAAGACAAGTATGATTATGAGCAGTATGGTGCTGTATAGATAATATGGTGATTTGACTTAATAAGAGGCCAGAAAAATGGTTTGTTTATTTATTTATTTATTAATGACAGAGTCTTGCTCTGTTGCCCAGGCTGGAATGCAGCATTGCAATCTTGGCTCACTGCAGCCTCAGCGTCCCGGGCTCAAGTGATTCTCATGCCTTAGCCTCCCGAGTAGTTGGGACTACACGGGCCAGCGCCTGGCTAATTTTTGTATTTTTAGTAGAGATGGCTGTATTAGGCAGGATTCTCTTAGAGGGACAGAACTTCTGCCTGCTTTATACTTGCTGGAAGCTGATGAGATTGTGCCCACCAGATTAAGGGTGGATCTGCTTTCCCCAGCCCACTGACTCAAATGTTAATCTCTTTTGGCAACACCCACACAGACACACCCAGGATTAATACTTTGTGTCCCTCTATCCAATCAAGTTGACACTCAGTATTAGCCATCACAGTGAGGTTTTACCATGTTGCCCAGGCTGTTCTTCACCTCCTGGCCTCAAGTGATTCTCCTGCCTCAGCTTCCCAAGGTGCTGGAATTACAGGCATGAGCCACTGCGCCTGACCAGAAAAGTGGTTTACCTGATAAAGTGGCATTTGAACTGAGATCTGAAAGTAGAATATACTTGAAGTAGATGAAGAGAGGAATGACAATATTTTATAGCAGAAAGGACAGCAGCCCTTGGTGGCAGGAGGCATGTTGTATTCCAGGAACGAAAGACCAATGCAGCTGTAGTGGAGAGAATACCTGAGAGCATGTGATCAGATGAGGCCCACCTGAGGGCAGATAGGGCTAGACTAGGCATAGTGTAGCCACAAAAGGGCTTTCAGTCAGTGATAAGGATTTGGGTCTTTATCTTAAAAAGACAAGGAGAATCCATGTTACATATTTTAAGCAGGAATTGAAGGTGGGGTCTTGAGGAAGGTGAGTGGTTGGGCAACGAGACAGGAATGGTGAAACTCTGTTAGTCTACAATGTGCAAGGTGGCAGAAGTGCATGCCAAAAGTGGACATAGGCAGGCCAGGTGCGGTGGCTCACGCCTGTACTCCTAGCACTTTGGGAGGCTGAGGCGGGGGGGATCACGAGGTAAGGAGATAGAGACCATTCGGCTAACACAGTGAAACCCCATCTCTACTAAAAATACAAAAAGTTAGCTGGGCTTGGTGGCGGGCGCCTATAGTCCTAGCTGCTTGGGAGGCTGAGGTAGGAGAATGGCGTGAACTCGGGAGGCAGAGGTTGCAGTGAGCTAAGATCGTGCCACTGAACTCCAGCCTGGGTGACAGAGTGAGACTCCGTCTCAAAAATAAACAAACAAAAAAGTGGACATAGGCATTCTAGTCAGAAAGTTTGTCTAGTAGTCAAAAAAAAAAAAAAAAAAAAAAAAAAAAGGATGGTGCCTACTTCATTGCCTTAAGCCCTTTCTATCTTGGACAGAACCTCAGAGGGGCCCAGATATTTTCTTGGAGACAGATTCTGTCATGTTTTTGTGTCAGGAGTCTGAATGTCAGTTCTTCCGAAGTTTTACTGCAGCACTAGTGCTGAAGACTGCTGTACTTGTTTGGATGATTAATACTGACTCATAATCCAAAAGCAGGTACATGAAGACTATAATATTCTTAACCATGTATTGCAGATATGCTTTTGGAAGCTGATTCAAAAAACTTACATGAGTACAAGGTGATCTTTAATTGGTTTATGCTCCAGCTACACTTTTTGCTTGTTATTGCTGTGGCAGTGAAAATTCTGACATGAACAAAAGACTGAAAGTAAACATAACTTGAAATATTTATTAGTATAGAGTGGTTCTTGAATTGTATATTTGCTATAGCCTACATTTCAGGCTAAAATTCATTCTATACCTAGGCTTTAACATCTGTTTCTTGGTGCTTTCTTTGTAACTAGCAATACTCTGAAAAGACAGTGTGACATCGGTTAGCAGTTACATCACCAGTCTGTGATGTCGTGTGTGTAATTGTCAGTGGTCAATCCATGGTGCTGTGTGAAATTATACTTAAGCTATAGTGGAAAACTAGTGTCCTCTTCCTTGGCAACTGTGACCAAGTGTGGGAGATAAGCCTGAAGGCTTTAACTGAATAGCCATCTGTTTAAAGCGTCTGGTTTTAAATGTAGCAGCTCATGTCACATCAGTCAGAAAAGGCTCCTGCAGCTGCAGCAGCCTCTGTTTCAGTTAAATAAATAAACAAAATGTGTTTCTTTTTTGTATTTTGTTATTATGTTCCTAAGTCTCCTTTTTTGTTGTTGGTTTTTTTCTTTCATACTTACAAGATTTTGGTTGAGGAAGTTGAATTGTTGATAGGTGGGGTCACCTCATGAGTTAATTATTTGAGATTGTTTAAATACATTTTTATATCTGTCTCTGAAATAACAAAAGTGAAGCTTTGTGGTAAGAAACTATTCAGTTTTTTTATTTGATATGCACTTTCATGTGTCTTGGTGCATAGTGCTGATGGGAAAAGAATGAAATATATGATGAAATACTGTGCTTGAAGAGCAGCAAGCATTGAACCCAGTCATAGCTCGTGAACTTGTGAATGGACCTGTTTCTTTTTAAGTATGTGAAAATTTCTGGGAAATATTCTGATGAATTTTACATAGGTCATCTCTTACTATTGAACTTAAAATATTTCCCTTTTTCTCCCAAGAAGAACATTTTCAGTTTTACTTCTTTTGTCCTGTGCTGCCTTCAGTGAATGAAGAAAATTACTGCTTTATTCATTTGATATTATGGCATTGAAGTATACCATTATTGTGAATTTGATTTCTCTAGTATAGGCTTAGCAATTTGAAGATATTACTGGGAGATTGGCTTATATTAGGAAATAGTCTCCTTTATAAAAAAATTCAAAAACGCAATTTCAGCTTAATTCATCTCTAAGCAGTTATTATGTATGATATGTGTACTTCTCTATTTAGAAGGGCTTTACTATGAATTTTTGTAAATACCCTTTTCAATACACTTAAAAATTCTTCACCTTGGCCAGGCACAGTGTAATCCCAGCACTTTGGGAGGCCGAGGCAGGTGGATCATGAGGTCAGGAATTCGAGACCAGCCTGACCAACATGGTGAAACCCTGTCTCTACTAAAAGTACAAAAATTAGCTGGGTGTGGTGGTGCACACCTGTAATCCCAGCTACTCAGGAGGCTGAGGCAGGAGAATCACTTGAATCTGGGAGGCAGAGGTTGCAGTGAGCCGAGATCGCACCATTGCCCTCCAGCGTGGGTGACAGAGCAAGACTCTGTCTTAAAAAAAAAAAAAAAAAAAATTCTTCACCTATAAACAGTGCAATTATTCATGAATTTTTATTATATAAAGATATATATTTAATGTCATATACTTGATAGGGCTTTTTAACTAATAAGGATGATAGTGCAATTAGCTTATTGATTTGTAAATACCTGCCTCTGGTGTCTTCTATCATACCTAAACCTTTGTTTTGATTCATGAATATATTAGGCAGTTTTGTTTGTATTTTGTAACTATTTGAGAAGAAATAGTTTAAGCAAAAGTAATCTTCAGTCTTGCCATTGTCCCAAGTCATAAAAAATTCTGAAATAATTGTATTTTGCATTAAAAATGTCTTTATTTAAACTCGGCATGGTGGCCTGAGTTGTAGTCCCAGCTACTCTCAAGACTGAGGTGGAAGGATCACTTGAGCCCAGGAGTTTGAATCTAGTCTGGCCTAGACAATATAACAAGACCTTGTCTCTTTATTTATTTTTTATCTTTATTTTTAAAAGTCTTGATTTAATAAGACTTCAATGATCAGTTCAACTTGAATTTTTACCATTTAAAATGTTAAGACGTAGTAAAAGAGAAAAATAGAAAAAGTCACTTGACATAAAAGTATAACTTACGAGGAATTGTATATACAAATTAGTGGTCAAGATAACAGATTGATCATATTATTTTCCAAATAGGTTTATTTGGAGATATGTGAATTTTATTGTTTCTGAAGTAATTTTATAGTTACTGTCTAGTACTTAATTCTTCTCAAAACATTGATTAAATAATTTCTAGGTTAAGTTGGAAACATGTGATAACATTAAAAAATTTAAAATGTCTTTGGGCCTGAAAGATTATGCCTTTACATTCAACATGAAATCCATGGATGGAGTTTATATAAATAACCATGTAGGCTTACCAATCCTTAACCCTCTTGTATTAGTCCATACTCACATGGATATTTCCATATCCACTTTTACTCTTGTGTCAAAAGACAAAATTAAAACTCATTTAGTTATGTATCTAATTGGCTTTTATTCTCGATTCATGAATCGGTGCAGCCTCCATTCTAATAGAATCACAGCTTCTACTGGGCAATGGCAGACTATTGGGTTTTGTGAGGTGGGAATGAGGAAACATAACAATGGGGAAAATAAGCTGATTAGTTAACAATAGATTACTTCAGTTTACTTTTTTTTTATAAGGGTTAAAGCAGAGGGGACTTTCTTGTTCTGACTCAGGTAGGCTAGAATCTCCTGTTTTTAGGAAAAACTCGTCTGTTTTGGGATCTATCTGCTTTCTTACAGTTGCAGTTTGATTATATGACATTTGGCATGAGTGACTCCACTTTGTTAACACTTGAAAGGTTATTATTCCCATATGGAGTATTCACATGGATGTAGCCATTGTCAGTTATACAAGATCGTGTTTCTTTTCTTTGCCCCCCTGCCCCCGTCACCTAAGAACTTGTTAGATATTCCATTTCTTTTTTTAAAAAAAGATACAGTGAGTAAAGGTGATAGAGAGCATATGGATAAATAGTGAAGAAGCTTGATGAGGGGAGTGGTTAGGTTAGAAACACAAGGGAATTTACTCAGGTTAAAACACTGTCATTTTATATTCAAGCCAATATATATTTGTTTTGTTAGCGTTGACGTAATTTTTTTCTGGGAAGGCTTTCCTGACCTCTGGTTTGAGTAAGCAGCTCCTCCTATGTGTTTTAGTCAGCACTCTTGGCTTAATCCATAGTAACTTTTGCTTGTTTGCATTGTAGTTGGTTATATCTGTCTCCTATAGCTTGTGGGCTCACTTTGACGGGGAGAGGCCTTGTTCTATTCATCATTAATCCTCAGGGTCTAGCACCTAGTAAATACTCAGTAAATATTTATTAAATGTAATTGCTTTATCTGATTTCTTATTGATATTTTTTGGAGCAGCAGTGTTGCGGGAGGTCATGTTAATTTAATCAAAGTAAAAAGAATTTGGGGGTTAGTACTGGAAGGTGGTTGGGAAGTGTATATATATATATTTCCAAACTCTTTAGATTTTCAAACTTTGTTCTCCTGAGGACTTTGCCACTTCCAGAACTGTTTCAGGAGCTGCTGTGGGAGAAGGAGGTCAGTGCACGTCCACTGATGTGGTTTGAATGTGTTCTCCAAAGTTTGTGTGTTAGAAACTTAATCCCTGGTGCAATAGTGTTGGGAGTTGGGGCCTATTAGGTGATTCGGTCATGACGGGTCTGCCCCTGTGAATGGATTACTGTCTTTATTTGGGAGTGGGTTAGTTATAAAGGAGTGTGCACCGTCTCTTGCTCTTCTGCCCTCTGACCTGGGATGATGTAAAATGAAGTCCCTTATCAGATGCAGACCTCATGGTCTTGTACTTCTCAGCCAGAACTATAAGAAATACGTTTATTTTCTTCATAAATTACCGAGTCTCAGATATTCTGTTATAGCAGCATAAAATAAATTAAGACATCTACTTTGCCCATTTATACTGGAGGCTTTAGCCAGAATTCTGTTTATAAAGTTTGCAGGCCAGGCACGGTGGCTCACGCCTATAATCTCAGCACATTGGGAGGCTGAGGCAGGAGGATCACTTGAACCCAGGGGTTTGAGACCCTGTCTCTACAAAAAAAAAAAAAATAAAAAATAAAAGAAAGAAAAACCTGTGTGTGGTCATGTGTGCCTGCAGTCCCGCTACTCAGGAGGCTGAGGTAGGAGAATGGCTGCTCAGGAGTTCGAGGCTACAGGGAGCTCTGATCATGCCACTGCACTCAAGCCTGGTGACAGGGTGAGACACTTTTTTTTTTTTTTTAAATTAAAGTTTGGATCCAGTCCAGCCTCTTCCTACAGATCAGAGCCAAGGCCCAAAGGAGCTGAGTGTCTTGTCCAGTTTTGTATGACTTGTCCAGTTTCCATAGTAGAGGCAGATCCAGGTTTCCTGCTACATCATGCTGCTTCTCAGGTGACTATTGCAGGGCTCTCCAGAGAGTTGGCCACTATCATGATGCATCGTGACTCACCTAAATGGTTTTGTTTGGACTAAGTTTGTTTATTCAGTAGTGTTGAAATGTATGTTGCAAACAACAACAACAACAAAAATAGCAGTTAAAAGACCTTATTGCTCAAGAATTAGTTACTATTTTTAAACTATCAGTTAATTGAACGTTATTTGGGACTTTAAATTCCTTTGTGAAAAAATTTAAATATCTGTCTGTTTTATTATAATGGAATTTAACCTGACGATATGTTGATAGTTTGAATTGTAGCAGAATTATAGGAAAACTCAGCTGTAAACATGGTATAAATTATTTTTTTAGTTTATATTATTTTGTTCTGTGCAAGTAGTGAAGTAATCTTCATGGAGAAGAAATCACAGGGTCTGCGTAACAGATTCCATATGGCCAGAAGCATGTAGTGAGTCCTTAAATGGGACAAAGAGATGAAATTTTAATGAAATGTACAGTAATCATTGGGACCACATTAGTTAGCTCTTTATTATTTTGTGCTGCTGCTTTGAAATAGCAGGATGTGGCACATTTATAATCCCTTTCTCTTGAGAATCAGTTACTGTAAAGTTGAAGATTTAATTTAAAAAGCAAGAGAAGCTGTTATGGAATTAAATATGTAGATGTGGCTGATATGATCTGTAAATAACTTTATTCACAAACACAGTACCACCTTTTTAATTCCATACATTTAAATATATCCTTTCATATCTTTTAAATATTAAATCATTTTGACAAACAGCTTACAAAACAAGGTATCAGTAGTGATACTTGAGTGCTTTTTTCTTAAAATCTCTAAAATTCAATTAAAATGTAAGTTGAAAGTATATAGGAATGTGAACTGTAAGTTAGAGTGATAAAAAGTGAATTATAGAAGATTTTTCTTTTAATTACCTGCTCACCTTTCTAAGTCTAATTATATATAAAAGTAATGAGAGGAAATTGTATTCTGGTATTATTTAGACTTTAGTAGATAAAAAATAGTGTTCAAATCCATCTGCTTCTTTTTCTGTCCACTTGGTTAAAATGTATTCTGGCATTCTCTGGGCAGACAGCCAGTTCTAAAATAACCACTTCTATTGAAACAGTTTTTGTGATGTCTACATAAACTCTGAGATTGCGACCTCCATTTGTTGGACATAATAATCTCAGAGGCTTTACTTTGATCCTGTAGTATTCAGTGGCACAAAATAGAGAATTCATTTATTTATTTTAAGAGGCTTCTAAATAAATAGAATACTGTCGATCTTTAACTCTTAATGTTGCCTTTGTTTTAAAACTTAGAAAAACTCAGAAAATCCTTTCCTAGAAAGTTGTGGTGGTGATTTTTTGTTTGTTGAAGTTGTTGTTGAAGGAAGGTAGGATTGAACATATTTTTCAGTTTCCCTAGAGAATAAGATGTTAAGAACTATTGGTTGATTGTTGACATGAGCCAGTTCTTTTTAAATTTCTGGATTTGTTACAGAATAGAAAAATATCTAAATACAGTTGAACTGCTCACTAGTCACGTGAGGTTACTTCAGCTTTCTGTGTTTTACTGTCATCTGTAGAATGGGGGATATTAATTGTACCTATCTTGTAAGGTTATAGAAATTAAATGAGATAATATAGAAATTAAGTGACGTAGTAAATTCCACTATTTGAAAATTATCAACATTACCACAATGCTAGTCACATGAGCATTAATTTTGATTCCTCATCGCTTCTTTTCCTTATTTCATTTTATCCCTAATTTTTGTCTGTCACTTTGTTGGTAGATTTATTTGCAGATACTAAATCTTTTATAATATAATCTCACTGGAGTGCATCATATACTCTGTTTTTCTCTTTCAGATTCTTAGAGTTAATACCATGTATTGTTTAAATATCACCAAATCGGACTTATCTTTGCCAATTAGTTCTACAGACGTAGACATATACTCCACTACTGTCACCAGCAGCAAATAGGACCACGCTGAGATTGGCTCTGAATTTAAATAGTTGGATTTCTGAAATAGGATATTTTCTTTGAATACTAATTCTGAAGAACCGATCTTCTTCCAGAATTCTAATAATTAGTTGATTACTGATAATGTCAAAGTAGATTTCAAATGCCTCAAATATCCCATCCCCTCTTCCCTTCACCTTCCCCTTCATTCCCAGTTGAAGTCATCCTAGGTTTTGAGATAAGCTCTTGCCTTGTCTTGCAGTATGTAGAATAAGAGATGACCACAATCTGTTTCTCGGTTTTTTTTTTTTTTTCCCCTTGAATTTCTGCTCTGACCTGCGTTCATCTGTTTCCTGTTTGGGTTCTGGATCCTTGCAGCTTGCATCCCTAAGCTCCTCATCTACTGCTTACCTTTCAGTATCCAATTTAATTGTTTTGTTTTTACTCCGGACTGTCTTCTATTCAGAAAATACCAGCGGGCTGTGGCAACCAGTAATCTGATCCTGCCAGGTCTCACCTCCATCTTATATGTAATCATTGCCTCTTTGCTCCTACTGTTGCTGGTGCAAGGGACTTGCCTCGCATTGACTTTATGCTTGGGCACTAAGGGCTCAGTATTGATAGCATATCTTTTAAAACACACTGGGATTTTCACCCCTTTCTCCAGAAGTACAGTTTGAAGTTTGAAGAGAATAAAAGTTTGTCTTTGTGGGGACCACAAAAGCACCATAATAACGTAATGTTTGCATTATAAGACTAAATATTGTGGGAGAATGCTGGTGTATTCACCTTTGTGAGAAACAACTTCACTATTCAACAGATATTTGTGTGCTTTCTGTAAAACGGAGAGGTAGTAGGATGCATAGTGCTCTTGCACTCAGGTAGTTCAGTTATGTTGAGAAGAGGAGACTTAGACAAAACCGTTGCCAAAGAAAGGAGTAGTATACTACTGATAGACTTGTATATGGCATAAAGTGTAGATCCTTGAGGAGTTTAGGGAAGAGGGAGATTAACAAAGGCTGGAGTGCTGAAGGATTCGTGTAATTTGTTCTGTTTTTCAGATACATAGTAGGCACTGTGCTGGTGCTGGGGATACAGCTGTGAAGATAGACATGGTCCCTGTCCTCAGACAGTTTATTTTTTGGGAGATAAGTATATTAAGTAAATCAAGTAAATTCTAGTATAGTGAACTATACTTGGGGTATAAGTATATTAAGTAAATCTTAGTGTAGTATACTAGTATAGTGAATATTATGAAAGGCATAGCACAGGGTGGTTAATGAAGGGAAGAACATTTAAGTATGGGAAATACGACAAAGATGAAAAAGTTTTTTGATTTATGTTTTGGTGGCAAGTGTTGAGGCTGTGCAATCTGGATTTTTAGGATACAGCTTGACTGCTATAGTACAAGTCCTAAAATAACAGCAGTGGATACCAGTTTCTCTCCTTCTCTCTCGCTTGCTCTCTCAATATCCTGAGAGCAAAAGCCTAGGACTATTACGGTAGTTTTATCATGGTGTCAAGAATCTGGGCTCCTTCTGTCTAGTTGCTCTTTCATCCTCAATGTTCAGCTTCTGTCTTGTACTCCAGCCTTGGAGCCACATTGTGTGTCCACATCACAGAAAAAGGCAAAGGGAGATATTTTGCTCTACTCGGCAGTTTTATGACTTAGGCATAATGGCCACCCCTACTTTAGGAGGGAGGGCTGATAAGAAGTCCGTACTTGTTAGTTATATATCCTCTAATTTGAGGGAACACTTCAGATAAAATATATTTGCATTTTGAGAACTCTGAGCTTAAATATTCTTACAAAATAAGGTACATAAAACCTCTTCTGAACTTAAACATTTTCTTTTAAAACTTCGCTTAGTAGTTTATACCTTTGATGCATTGATACTTGTGGTAAGGAGGAGGTTGGTACTTGGAAACTTGGCCTGCAATGTGCAACATCTTTTCCTTAACTTGCCACTGATGCTAGACTTTGAAATGAACACCCCTGCCTCCCCATCAGATGTATTGAACTTCATTTTGGACTATAAAAGTTTTTTTTTTTTTTTTTTTTTAAGTAATTGGAGACTTTACATTTACACTGTGCTGCCTACAATCCAGTATTCCTTCATTTGTTAATTTGGAGTTAAAAATGGAATCCTAATGGATGTACTCATATCTTATGTATAATATATGCTTCAGTGGAAAGTTGTAAGTTATAACTTGCTGGAGACATTCATCATATGGTTGGAAAGATATTTATACTACTGCAAAAATAAAAAAAACTGATGAACTTGAACCTTAACATATTGCTAATAATTATTATAAGCTTAAAGAATTTCATGTTTTTGTAGAAATAAAAATGATAGTTATTTACGATAATAGCATGAAGTAAAATGAGAGGTTTAAGAAAAACCATTCTAGAGTGAATTGTCTATAGAAACGTGAAAGTAATTGCACAGAAATTTTTCCCTTATTGAGTTGAGTAAGAAAAATAGAGTATAAATTTATATACACAATAATGGAAATGATATTTTCTACCCTCCACCTTACTATTTCTAATATGAAAATACATACTGGTCCTATAATTATGTATCTGATTATTTTATTAAAATGGAAGAGTGAATAAGTGCTTGGGACCTAGAATCAATATATTTAGTTTTTTGTGTTTTGAAGAACAGACACAATTTTTATGAATAACAACAGCAAAGAATAGTTAATATATTAACAGTTTCAAGGTTTTTTTTTCCCCTTAAATCTTGTTTATAGAAAAGTGTGAACCATACATTCTTTGTTGAAGACTGTGTGGCAAAATGTAACTTCAGCGGTGAAATGAACTCTAGCACTGCCCACAGCGCTAATAGGCTTGGATCAAAAGGTATTATTTTGGTGTTGTAAACGTTTTCATGAGAAAACGTGAAATACCTATTGTGTGGCCGAACTGTGGTATGTTTGCTCTGTCAAGACTGTTGACCTTTCATCGTTACATTTAATTGATTTAAAAGAAATTTGGCATTTGGAAGTATTCAGAACATTAAAGAGAACGTCGTTTTTTGAGACAGAGTCTTGCTCTGTCACTCAGGTTGGAGTGCAGTGACATGATCATGGCTCACTGCAGTCTGGAACCTCTGGGCTCAAGCAATCCTCCCACCTCAGTTTCCCAAGTAGCTGGGACTTTGGGTGTGTACCACCCACACCTGGCTAATTTTTAAATTTTTTGTAGAGACGGTTTCTCTGTGTTGCCTAGGCTGATCTTGAACTCCTGGACTCAAGTAATCCTCCCGCCTTGGCCTCCCAAAGTGCTGTGATTACAGGCATGAGCCCCTGTGCCTGGCCATAAGAGAATATCTTGGCCGGTGGTGGTGGCTCACGCCTGTAATCCCAACACTTACGGAGGTCAAGGCAGGTGGATCACTTGAGGTCAAGAGTTTGAGACCAGCCTGGCCAACATGGTGAAACCTCATCTCTACTAAAAATACAGAAATTAGCCAGGTGTAGTGTTGTGTGCCTGAAGTCCCAGCTGCTTGGGAGGCTGAGGTAGGAGAATTGCTTAAACCTGGGAGGCAGAGGTTGCAGTGAGCCGAGATTGTGCCAGCTGCATTCCAGCCTGGGTGACAGAGTGAGACTCTTTTTCAAAAACAAAAACACCACCACCATCAACACACAATTAAATAAAAAGAATATCTTTATCGAAAAATATTGCTTTAAAAATTCAATACTTATTTTCTGTGGTTGGATTTAATACCTAACTTTTCATAGATTTTAAAAAGTAAAAGTTAAGAATATGTGTCTTTTATGCTATGTTGGTACTTGACATTTTATTGAGTTACTAATGTGTCTCGTAAGCACTACTGCCACAAATTTTTCATTCTTAAGTAATACTTAATTATCTGGAACCCTCAGAGAATGTCATTCTGAACAGAGAGTTTCCTGGAGAAGGTGAGTTTGATCTCACAACATGGGAAAAACAAATCGTTTGCATGGAATTATTTCTTTAAAAAAGTAGAGTTTTCCTTTCTTAAAAGTATGCTTACTAGAAATAACCTAATTATTTATTGGGTGGTGGGAAGTTGAATCTATGTTTTCATTGTTAGTGCCACTAATTGCTCTTGGTAACAAGAGTTCCAACTCCAGACTTATTGCAGGTGTGAGTGAGGATCCATTCAAGAGAAGCAGTGTTGTTCAGTAATTAATAGGACGGGCTTTTGGAGTCAGGCATGGGTTAAAATCCTCTCTTTCTCCTGGGTACTTGCTGTTTGACTTTGTTTTGGCAAACCACCACATTTCATTTTCTTCATTTGCAAAGTGGGGAATTAAGAGTCACAATGCTTCATTGAGTGTGAGGATTACATGAGTTAACACATGGAAATCAGTTAGCACAGCATTTCACTCATAGAAAATTCAGTAAGTATAAACTGTTGTTAATGTTACCACTATTTCTGCTATTGCTACAAGAGCAGTGCTCCGGGCAGCTGTGATTTTTGTTGTTGTTATACCTACTATTGAGTAGTTTTCCTTTCACCGACATTGATTTGTGTATACGCATTAAGGCCATTTCTGTTTTTAATGAAGGAGTTATCTGAATGTTGTCAGTTTGGGGATGAGAAGAACTTGTGAGGCCATGGTGTCAATAAGCCTTCCGTGTGCTTATGGGAAAATACATTCTCAGCACAAAGGGAGCATTAAACCAGATATACTATTTGCATATTAAAGTTAGAAAGATTTTTCTGTTTGGTTTCAAAATTTCCTGCAGTAAGGGGGAATGGGTTAAAATAGAAGCAAGTGTGTATATATTTGTGTCTAGTCTGTGTCTTTCAAAAGGAATCATTTACTTCCTGTGAGGAGTTGCCATAGGAATACTGCTATTATTTCTTCCAGGAGAGTGAATTTAACTTGCTTTTGGCCTTTAAGGGGGCACAACACTTAACTTTAATTCTTTATTGTATGTGGTTAAAACTGATTTTTGTTGTTAATGACATATATCTGGTTATTGCTATTACAGAAATTGATTGCTTCCTGCTCCCTTCTCTGCAATTATTTGTGGTGGTGGGATAGAGACTTGTGGTAGCTATCAGAATGTGCTCTCTGCCTGCTCTAACTAATGGAGGTGGCACTCTGGCTTCCTTCTTTTGTTCCACATTTTGGCTTTTAGCTGCCACCATAAGCTCTTGGCAAATAGACTGAGAAAGGTGAGCAATCTTTTCTTCCAGTTAAACACTCCCCTCCCCTCAGTAAGTTCTGTGTATAGTGACAGAGACTCTTTAACCAGGTCATTCCACCTTCCAGCACTAATGTGGATAGTAATAATAGCTAACATTTATTGTATAGTTACATGTGATGTCATTGCCCTAATTATGTTACACACTAATTTAATTATTGGAGAATTCTGAGCCTCACATTACTGTCATTGGATGCAGAACAAGGCTCGGAGAGGTTTAGTAACTTATCTCTGCTCTTAAATGTCCTACCTGGGCGTGTTCTACCTGGGACTGGACTCCAGATCTCACAGACTCGGAATTTTTTTTTTTTCCTGCTCTTTTTAACTTCTATTATGAAAAATGTCAGATATATGAAAATCTAGATAGAATATTATACTGAACTCCTGTTTACATTTCACCTGTATTTAATACTAGTTAATATTTTATAATATTTACTTTGTCTACTTTTTCTTGAAAGTTTTAAAGCAAGTCTCATAAACCATAACCTATCGTATTTTAGCATGCATTTTTAAAAAATAAGGGCATTTTCTTATTAATCATACTGCAATACTCACATTTCATTTAATTATTTCTCCTAAATTTGTTTTCCAATGTTGAACAGTCCTTCTCTCCTTGGTTGCTTTCCCCCCCACGCCATTGGGTTTTTGTAAAGACTGAGTCCTGTGATTCCAAATCTTTACCTCTATGCCCCTCTGGTCTTCTGACAGTGCAGGGAAGGTGGCAAGCCGCAAGGGAGTAGGAAATCCCCCAAGGATGATATGAAATGTACCAGACTGTGGCTTGCATTCTTTGCATGGTAGACACATTCTTGAAGTTGAAGAAACTTTAGCTGCAGACAAAACTTGACGCTTTAATCACGTATGTCCAAGCAAAGCAAAAAACCACAAACAATATCTTATTACCTCTTGTTAGCAGGATATGAACCATTGGCTGCTGTTAAAGTTTATTTAGAAATGGAAACAGTAATATAATTATGGTATAATAAAATTATGCTGAAAATAATTTCAGACTTTACAAAAACTACTTTTTATTCCTCTTTGATTTGGCAGGCATTTACTGAGTATTTACTTTTTCACAGCCTTTTGGGGGCTTTATACGGAGATCCTATCCACAAGGAGTTTATAATCCAGCAGGGGAGAGAGAACCTGTATGAAACAAATATATTTCCATGTAGGATAGAGCCTGCAAATACTAAAAGACAGGATCAGTGAAAATGCTTAGGAGATTATGAAGGGAGAGGGAACACTTTTCATTGAATGTATAGTGGAAAAGGAAGAGGTTGTATTTGAGGGGTCCAGATAAGTAGGATTTGGCATTCAGAAATTTGTATTTGAGAATCTTGGACAAACCAGAGAAAACATACAGAAATATAAAGGTGAGAAAGGATAGGGAGTAGAAGTTGAGTGTCGATGTCTCTGAATGTCCTTAGATTTAGGAAATGTATTTCTAAAAGACCTACTTTACCTTTTGCCCCTCTGTCTTTGTTCTTTCACTTGGTGACTTTCACCCTTAGGAAGGTTAAAAATAAGGCACTCATTAGTCTGTATGGTTCCCATAGCCGCTATAGACAGATGGCATCATTTTATTTTTGCACATTATGGCTAATTTTGATTTTCCAAAACTTGCTGTAGATTTATTCCTGCCTTTAGGTCCATTGTAATGTGACTTCTTATTGCTCAGTTTCAACCACTGTGTAGGATCCTTCCCATCTGCATTTTTCTAAAGGCCAAATGTAATATAGTTTGTACTGTGCTTTATTCTAAAATCACTGTAACAAAGGAGTTTTATTGTATGCGTTTATTGTTAAATCTCTGTCCTAACACCTTGCTAATGGAGTTTCTTCGTGATACCTTTTAAAATAATTTTCTTTTTCATTGAGGAGGCAATTTGAAGGTAGGATGTGAAGAAACATTTTCACTTAAAGCATTTAACAGTTCTGACATTTCTATAGTAACTTAAGATGTCTTTGATCTCAACCAATTATATATGAAAATTGACGTCCTTATGAAGACCTCTTATACACATTTATTTTCAATAACAGAAATTCATAACTAAATATCTCCCCTCCCCACCCCCAAGAGATTTTGCTTGCTAAAAGCCTAGTTAAGATGAAATTTATGGGACTAGTTTATTCTCTGTAGTTTTCTCATTTCCCCCCTCTTAATCTTCTGGTCCTCTGAAGTTTTCCCATTTTTTAACAATAAGATGTTGTGATAGACCTCTGGGGAGTAGGTTGGAGTCAGAGACAAAGTTGAACAGTAGTAGGGGCATCCACACGAGTCCCTACTGTGGGCCTAGTGTAGTGCTAGGTGCTTTACGTACCATAGCTCTAGTTCTCAGAACATCTGGTAGCGATATATTATAGGTTGCATTTACAAAAGAAGAAACTTAGATTGAGAAAATTAAACGACCTACCTAAGGCCACACACCCCTGAAGTACCATATGTGGGTTTCAAATCTAGACTAAACTACTTTCAAAGCTTGTATCTTTCCGTAATTCTAGGTTGTCCATAAATAAAAATAAGTTTTCACTATTTTCTGGCTTAGAGCTGTACAAACAGATAATAATAAGAATGAGGAAATGCCAGATGTGAGAATGGTGTGCCTCAGTTCTGTGGGAGGTCAGAGAAACATAGGTTATCCTAAGTGTCAGAGGAGCTTGTATAGGAACACTTAGCGAAGTTGAGTGGCAGAGGTGCAGTGGAGGAGTAGTGGAACACGAGAGCAGAATGGAAGCTCAGACCCGGTTGTAGGAGGTTTAGAATGCCAGCCTGGAGCACTGAGTCTTTCCCACCTCATTGATTATAGAAGTTTAGTTTACTAAATTATGACAAGATCTAGATGTAACAAGAAGAGTAGAAATGACTTATTTTTTGCCTTCTTGGATTTGCTTTCCAAGACTTTGTTGTAATAAAATTTGAGTACGTTGATAAGCTGGCACTGCTGTAAGGGAAGGTAGGCTCTGGCCTTAGGCGGACACAAGAGAACTAGACACTTGGTGGTTTGTTACATGTTGTGTGAAGTTAATGTCCAGTGACACAGCCTGCATGGTCAGCCAGAAAAGAGATTTGGCTTAGGGCCATGCTGGTATCACAGCGATCTCAGCGTCAGCTCTGATTCCAATTAGGTCTTTACAGAGATTCTTGCATTTAGAGCCATTCTTTTGACAACTAAATCTGTCCATGTGTGCATTTATTAAATGTGTATACTTGGGTCTAATTTTGTATTTGATCCACTTCCAGAGAAATGAATTTATTCATTCATTAAAAATGGATACATTAAAAAAATGTAACTATCAGAGGGCAAAGTGAAAGAAATATCACACCTTTCTTTTTCTGTCTTCCATTTCTTCCTCAGCCCTTTAAAAATATGTTATTTTATCATTCATTTATTAAACATTTTTTATTGCCAGCTAAGCTGCAGGCACTATAGGGGCATATGAAAGGAACTTAATGTCCACTTACTCATCTCTAGCCAAACCATTCTCAATGCCTAACTCTTATTTTCTGTGTTTTTATTCATGTTGTTTCTTCTGCTTAGGTCATCTGTATCAGCGTCTTTCCTTAATCTCCCTGTTTACTTATTCTAAATGTTACCCACCCTTTAAGGTCTGATTTAATATTATTGGGAGATTTGGCATTTAGGTGAAATGTAAAACTCTTCTTTCACAAATACCGGATACTGTTTTTTAAGTAACTTGCTTGTTAGTAATCATTTGACTTTTTGGGCATAGCCTGAGCTGTTCTTTTTAGAGCCAGCCTTCTTTGTCAAATGAGAATTAAAAAAGAAAAATGCGGGAAGCATGTTTCACAGATGGAAGATGAGGTTAATCAATCAAACATATTATCTAAACCATGCAGAATTCCTTTCTAGGGTTGTTGGGGGAATATATTTAACAATAGGTCATGACAGCTGAGCTCTAGACAATTCCTTCTGATCAGCCTTTAATTAATCTAGTGGGGTCTAAGACTTAACTGTATATAGCTAACTATAATACATGACAAAATATGAGAAGTTCTAGAATATAAACATAATCAAGAATGCCTTAAGTCAGGAAAGAGGGAAGTTAGTCTACTTGGAGGGATATGAGGAAAGTCTTATGGAAAACATGACATAGTAATAAGCAGAGATGGGAGCAGGGTAGCCTATTCTGGGCACATGGTACGGTGCATGAGCAAAGGTATGAATACCGGATGTGATCAAAGTATCTCAAACAATGAGTTGTTAGTGGGTAGGAAATAGAAGGAAGTATACAGAGAAAACTGAACAAATAGGTGGGACAAAAATAGTACAGTTATAAGATCATTAGACTATTTTTAGTGAGTTTAAAAACATGATCAGAGCCATGCTTTAGTAAGGTGACAGAAAGTGGTAAGAGTGGATCGAAGGCAATACTGAGGAACAGATCTACATGGCTAGTTGAAGACAAGTGAAAGATTTCAAAGTGTGGTTATTGATTGGTTAGACGAATAGAGTATTACATTCCCCATCTTCTTAAAGCAAAGCCTCCTTTCTTAGGAGGTAACCTAAATTCCAATAATTTCTCCTTTCTTTTATGCTCCTCTTTCCCAAAATAAGAAAATCAAGATAAACTACTTATATCTATATATATCTATATCTAGCTCCGTATATATATATATATATATATAGATATCTCCATATATATGGAGATAGATATAGAAATAAAACAAGCAAAGAAGTTTTTAGTATGGATTGTCAACTTGACATCACTTTTTCAGTGATTTTATCTTTAGCTGGTTACTATATAAAACACTTTTGTCATTGACATGAAAGTTTTTCAAACTTAATTTTTCTCTTTTTCCTTTTTGAGCCACTTGCAGTAGCACTCCTCATTTTGTAGGAGAGAAGTATAATCCCATTTATAAGGTTCACCATCAACAATTATAAATAATTTTAATATATGGCTTTGTGTAGTTCCACAAAAATGTATTTAATATTGGCTTTTTTTAAAAGCAAAATATAATTGTAGGGGAGACGGTTGAGTTATTTGCACACTAAGTGAGAAATTCAGGAAATACTTGAATTTTATTAATCTTCAGAACTAAATAAATGTCTGTATATATGTGTATGTTTATATACATGAATGAATGGAAATGAATGACTTTAATACCAAATCAGTCCTAGCTGCTTGAACCCCCGCCCCCCTCCACTCCCGCCCCCCTCTTTTTTTTTTTTTTTTTTTTTTTGAGATGGGGTCTTGCTCTGTAGCCCAAGCTGGAGTGCAGTGGCATGATTTTGGCTCACTGCAACCTCCTGCCTCCCGGGCCAGGAGAAGTGATTCTCCTGCCTAAGCCTCCCAAGTAGCTGGGATTACAGGTGCACGCCACCAAGCCCGGCTAATTTTTTTGTTAAAAAAACCTCATCTTTTAACAGTATATATGATAATTACATGTTACTCAATAATATTATGGGTAGTTTTTTAAATTAGCTTTTTTTAGAATTATGAAATTAGCACATGTTCACTGTATATTTGAACAATATAAGGATGAATGTTGTAAAAAGTGTAAATACCCAACCGTTCTTCTTGTAAGGTAGAAAAATTACAGTTTGGTATATTACAGATAGGTTCTTTGAAAGCCTGGAAAGAAATCTTTAGCATATCGTGCTGTCAAGATGTCTTTAGCAGAGTCGTTAATACAAGATGACCTTTAGGTTGCTTATAAGTTAAAGACTGCTCTGTCGCCTGCAGTCATGTTTATATGTATGAACATATTTCACCATACTTTTTACAGAGGTTATATTTGGCAAGGATAACAGTAACAGTAAAACAGTTTTGTTTTACTTTTTGTTGCAGCTGATAAAAATTATGATGTGAAGAGTCTGATACTATAAAACTGTCTGGTTATTTCTGTAAGTTTTAAACTGAAATTTATAGCCATACCATGAAGAATATGAAATTCTTAGATGCAGTATAATGTTGCCAAATTATACAAGTAAAGTCAGGTGTTAATATTTATTTTTTTACTATTTGAAATGATAAATGATATCAGAGTTTTAGGACATGGTATCCCTGTCATTTGTAATAGGAAAAGCTAAGAAGCTTGACTATCTTTTCATAGTTTGACTGCAGTGTACACTGGATTAGCCACTCTTATAAGCACAGTTTGCATAATAAATGTTTGTTGAATATTGGTTAAATGGATATGTGTTATCTTCTCTGAGGCAATGGGCCCTGGACTATATTTATTATTCCTATATCTCAGTAGTACCTTCTTAGGCATAGTAGGGCCACCATAAATATTTGAGTAGTTGTTTTTGTTTTACTAGATAAATATTTGGTAGTTTTTTGTGTATACTTAAACTCTTCATGATGAGTTGAGGCTATTTAGAGATTTTTGGTTTTTTACTTTTTTTTTTAATTATTATTTTTGAGACAGAGCCTTGCTCTGTTGCCCAGGCTGGAGTGCAGTGGTGCGATCTTGGCTCACTGCAACTTTCGCCTCCTGGGTTCAAGCAATTTTTGTGCCTCAGCCTCCCAAGAAGCTGGGATTATAGGTGTGGACCACCATGCTCAACTAAGTTTTGTGTTTTTTAGTAGAGATGGGGGTTTCCTCACGTTGGCCAGGCTGGTCTCGAATTCCTGGCCTCAAGCAGTCCCCCCTGCCTTCGTCTCCCAAAGTGCTGGGATTACAAGCGTGAGTCACCATGGTTGGCTATTTAGGGAATTTAATCAAGATTTAAAGCAGGGTGTCCAATCTTTCGGTTTCCCTAGGCCATGCTGAAAGAAGAATTGTCTTGGGCCACATATAACATACACGAACACTAAGGATAACTGATGAGCTTTAAAAAAAAAAAAGGAAAAAACAAAAAACAAACTCAGCTGGGTGCGGTGGCTCACGCCTGTAATCCCAGCACTTTGGGAGGCTGAGGCTGGCAGATCACAAGGTCAGGAGATCGAGACCATCTTGGCCAACATGGTGAAAGCCCATCTCTACTAAAACATAAAAATTAGCTGGGCATGGTGGCACACACCTGTAGTCCCAGCTACTTGGGAGGCTGAGGCAGGAGAATCGCTTGAACCCAGGAGGTGGAGGTTGCAGTGAACCGAGATTGCGCCACTGCATTCCAGCCTGGTGACAGAGCGAGACTCCATCTCAAAAAAACCAACAAAAACAAAAAAATCTCAAAATAGCTCATAATGTTTTAAGAAAGTTTACAAATTTGTGTTGGGCTGCAGTCAAAGCCGTTCTGGGCCTCATGCGGCCCGCGGGCTGTGGGTTCAACAAGCTTGATTTAAAGTCTGTTTGCTAGTGAATTTTAAAAACTTTTTGGGGTCACAAATAGAAAAGAATTTGGTTTATTTGGTTTATTTATTGCAGAGAACCTGGAACATACGATTAAAGCATGCCTCTATGTGTGGGGATTTTTTTTTAAACTTCATGAGGCTTAGACTAAAAATGTGCTTGAGGCCAGGCACAGTGGCTGTCACCTAGATTTAGTTCCAGCGCTTGGGGAGACCAAGGCAGGAGAATTGCTTGAGGCCAGGAGTTCAAGACCAGCCAAGGCTACTTAGCAAGACTCTACAAAAATTTAAAATAAATAAATAAATAAATAAATAAATAAATAAATAAATAAATAGAGTTGAGTGTGGTGCATGTGCCTGTAGTCCTAGCTCCTTGGAGGCTGAGGTGGGAGGATCACTTGCACCCAGGAGTTTGAGGCTGTAGTGAGCTATGATCGCACCACTGCACTCCAGCCTGAATGACAGAGTGAGACCTTGTCTCAAAGAGAAAAGAAAAAAAAGCGCTTGAAGCAACTGCTGAGGAACTGTATGCCATTTATTTTAACAACTGTATAGAAGCAGGAAAGCCTAGAATTTTAGTACTGGAAGGTACTTTTTAGATGAGCTAGGCCAAGCATCCGCCTCCCCTGGGCTCGGTTCCAGAATACCTGTTCTAGGTTGCTTTTCAGCCTGTGATGAGGAAATCTTTGTATGCACACCATGGAGTCCTTTTCTTAAGGATATGTAGTGATGTGCATAGAGATTGAGTATCAGGATTCCTTGTTAAGGATTTCCATCTGCCATTTAGGATTATTATTGGTTTGGTTGACATTGGCATTGCCTTATCAAACAATAGATGGTAGGTGGAAGTTTCGCTACCCTGTTTGGTATGAGGCAGATATTAATTTGTTGTTCTGAAGAAGGTGATGTTGGATAAGCCAGTTTTATTTAAATGGCCATATGAAGAAAATAGGATCATAATGTGAAGTCAGTGTACTGACAACAGAGTATGTGCGTATTTTGTGAGATGCACAGATACACGTAATTACCTTATAAGTGGTATGGGATGAATTAAGTGGAGCAACCATGGGACAGAAACAGTACAAGTGATGCAGTGAAGTGCAACTTGAAGCGGTGTTGTAGCATAAATTTTGATTATTAGATAGCAGATAAGTTAAATTCCTTAGATACGGTAATGTACAGCAGCCAGAGAGAGGTTATTTCATGTTGCTAATTGCATATCAGATTCAGTGCCCAGATGACTTACCTTTTGGGAAAACAAAACCCACTCACTTTTATGGAACATATTCTCTGCCAGAGACACTATTTTAAGCACCTTTACGTGTTATCTCAGTTAATCTTTAAAAATGTTTGCATAAAGTAGTTGGAGTTTCAGAAAATGTACTCTGAATTCATAGTAAAAACTACAGTAGGTCAGCTATTAGTTGTATTAGCCACATTGATTAACCACAAACATGCAGAACTTATATTGAGCATGCTTTGAGCCAAGATTTTATGTTTTGGGGTAAGCTTTTTCTTTAGGGAATTTTTTTGTGAGGAAATAGATTTGGGACAAAGATTCTCAGACCAAACTCAGTTTTGGAATCACCCAGAATTTCAGAAATGGGATCTCAGTTCACTATCAGGGTCGAACTGTTGGGAGCTGGGCCCTTTGGGACAGTGAAGGACAAGAGATGGGGGAAATTTGAGGAGTAGTTGGGCACCACCCTTACTTCTCATCCAAAATTAGGATGTGGACTTTATCGGTGATGGCTGAGTTTCATTTAGTAATGAGGAAAGGTTTTTGTGAAACATTCTTTTAAATGGAATCACATGAGTTAATGGTGTGAGTATTTCAGGGCTGTGAGTTAAGCTGTTGGGGCAGTGAAATAGCAGGAATTTCTCAGCTCAGTCAGAATCCTTTCTTGTGTGCTGTGTATGGAACACAGGGGCAAAGGAAAGGCCAAGCAAAGAGAAACTGCCTGTGTGCCTGTTCTGTGGCTCTGGGTAATCACCTGGCTTCTATTAAGTTCTGTAGTATTGGTGAAATAATTGGGGATTTAAAGGAGGTGAACCAGTGTGTGGTCTCTTTTAGCCAATCCATAACCTTTAAGGTACAAGTTGCTGTGATTTTCTTCTTGGAAATAGTTTTTGTATATTCATTTTTCATGGTTTAGGATCTGTAACTTTAATATCCTGTCTATGAATATGAACAACCTAGTGAGGTCCATCCTTCTCTAGAGATATAAGTAATCTCAATTATTCTTCCTTTCTTGCTTTGCGCTGCAGTTTGTTTTCATAGTGACATGTAGCAAGTAGGATCATTGTTTATATCGGTTAGGCCACAAAAGTCATTTAATGAAAAATTTGATGGAAACATTTTAGAAGGGAGTCCCAGAGAATAACGGAAATGAGTCAGCTCTGAGAGGAAGTATAAATTAATGTGATATCAGCTGCTGTGGACAAGCCGGGAACCTAGCTAATGTACTTAATGTTGTTCCTGTAGCACAACAACTTTCTGGATTCCAAATCGTTGACTTACAATTGAAACTTCAGGACACACCCATTATGAATTGGGATCTAAGTAGACTTTCAAGAAGCAGGAGCATGCTAAATTTCTGTGGCTCTGGTAATCATTCATTCATTCTTTCTTTTTCTCACTTTCCCTCTTTTTTTTTTTTTTTTGAGACAAGGTGTTGCTGTGTCCCCTGGGCTCAAATGATTCACCCCTGCCCTGCCTCGGCCTCCCTGAGTGCTGGGATTACAGGCCTGAGCCACTGTGCCTGGCAGGTGTACTATATTTTGAAAATTTCTTGAGGTCCTTTAGTATCTGTATTTCTTGCCCAAATGTTTATTCTACAGTATGTAAACAGTAAAGAAAATAAACCAAATCTGGGCATTTCATCATCAGTGGTTAGCTACTGATGTAGTTCAGAATTAAGCAGTCAACATCGATTATAGAGTCATTTGGCCGAGAGCAAACCTGTAATTCTTTCTGAAGCCAGCAGACCCTGAGCCCACGAAACTTGTCAGTAGATAAGATAAAACAAAAGTCAGTTTTGAGTTCACCTGTTTGATTTGAATATAAGCAAGAGCTTGGTTGCTTGGAGTTCTAATAATTAACTACACTGTAAGAATAGTTTTAAATTTTAAACGTATAATTCCATCATATTATAATGGTCAATTTAATAAATTTGACTTAACATTGCTTTTAAATTGTGTGTAATGTAAAAGTGTCACTTTATTTTTATGCACACATACATCAATTGTGCATACTTGAACTTAGTAGTAAATAAAGTGAACTTTTTTTTTTACTTTTATTTTTTGGAGACTGGGCCTCACTCTTGTCGTCCAGGCTGGAGTGCTGTGGCGCAATATCGGCCTGCTGCAACCTCTGCCACCCCGGTTCAAGCGATTCTCCTGCCTCAGCCTCCTGAGTAGCTGGGATTACAGGTGTGCACCACTATGCCTGGCTAATTTTTGTATTTTTAGTAGAGATGGGGTTTCACTATGTTGGCCAGGCTGGTCTCGAACTCCTGCCCTCAGGTGAGCCACCTGCTTCGGCCTCCCAGAATGCTAGGATTACAGGTGTGAGCCACTGAGTCTGGCTTTTAATGTCTTTTGTCTTGGATAGGGAACAGCTATAGGACTATTGCTATATGCTTACTTGATAAGAGAAATTAGTTGTTCACAAGTATTTGAGTGCTACTATTTACCAGGCACTGTTTGAAGCTTTGAGAATAAAGTAGTGAAGAAAACAGACTAAAATCTTGGTTCCTGTGGATTTTTAGCTCTGGTAGAGAAGATAGTAAAGAAGTAAACACATAAAATATACCAGATGCTGATTAGTGACATGGAGAAAAATGAAGCAGTGAAGGAGGATGGTTGCTATTTTAAGTAGGGTAGTCAGAGAAAGTCTGATTGGGTGGCATATGAGGTGAGACCTAAAAGAGGTGTGGGGATGGATATCTGTCAGAAGAGCATTTCAGGGAGAGAGAACAGTAAATACAAAGGTCATCGGGTAGAGTATAATTGGTCTGATGAAGGACCAGTATGGCTCAAGTGGTGTGGGCAAGGGGAAGAGCAGTGGGCGTGAAGCTGGGGTAGGGTGTGGGGGACAATTTATGAAGGATGCTAAAGACCAGAGTGGAACCTTTCTCAGAGTTGAGAAGCCATTGAAGGGTTCTGAGCAGACCCAGTTAGCTCATGAGTGAGCTAACTTAACCATTTTAAGGGATTCCTCTAGCTACCACATGGAGAAGACACTGGGTTGGGGAGAGCCAGCACAGAAGCAGAGGTCCCACGGGAGGCTATTGTCATGATCCAGGTTGATGATGGGGACGGCTTCCACCAGAGTCCCTGTGGTGAGGGTGGTGAGAAGTGCTCACGTTCTAGATATCATTCTGAAGGTAGAGCTGGCTACCTGGATGTAGACTGTCAAGAGAGTTAGGATAAAGCAAAAATTTCAATACATTTATAGAAAACTGCCAACACTTTGGCACTGCTCAATTATTTTATTTATAGAAATAATAATTTTAAAAATCTGGATACAAAGGAATAATTGTATTTGCATATTTTGTTACTGTGTTTTCAGTTCGTTTTGTATATTTTATATATGAAGCTATCTGTGTAACCCTATTTCTGGGTCAGATTTCTATATATGAAAAAAATCAACTTCAGGATTATAATACAGTGTACTGCTGCTGCCACCTAATGTTTATAGCCCTTCATTTATATAATTACAATAACTAGTTATGCATAGCTTTAATATTGGTTTGAATACAGAATGTTAACAGATTAATTGTGGCTTATTTAATTGCCTTCATATTAGGTACCTAGTATGGATATTTAATATGATAACTGAATTGCCTTGTCATAAGGTTGTGGTTTGAAGGTTAATTTTATTGGCATCTTGATCTCTGTGTTGAATTCAGTTCAACACATATTTATTTGTTGTGCTTAGCCCTGTGTGTCTCTTTGCTCTCACGATTAGAGACAGATTTTAAAAAATCCACACATTTAAACAAATAATGAAATAATTACCAGTTGAAGGAAACAAACAGCACAACAGACATAGCTGCCCCTTTGGACAAGGAATTTATAGTCTAACAAAGCAGATGAGTATTTAGAAATTAATTAGATTAAATGTGATGACTATCATTTCAGCCACTTTTCCTACAGAGTAGGATGGACTTTAGTTAGAAGCCTCCCTAAGATAAATTCAGTTGTTGCAAGACCTGATGTTAGTAATGCGATAATTTGTAAGTCGATGCTGAATCAGTTTCTGCTCCAGAGAGATTTAACTTTAGGGATGACTGATTGTTGTTGAAAGTTTTGTTTTCAAACCAGTTTTTGTAATTACGTACTTTTCTGGGTCCTTTTTGTAGTTAGACTTGGATGTGATGATTTGCTTCCTCTAACATGTTCCTTTCCCGGTAGCTGCTCTGTTTAAAAACCTTAGAGATAGCAACATTTCATGAGAGATGAAATAATTTTTGTTTGTATCTATATATGTGTGTGGGTACACATATATGTACATATCTGTAAAACATCCTCATTTGTCACTGTGTAACTAGAGCTCTAAAAATACTGCTAGAACAAACAGTAACACTGGTAATGAATCCTGAAGATAGATTCAATAGTCATTGAATGTTTAATGTATCCCAGGACACACATTTTGTGAACTGAGGATATAACCTTGAAACAAACAGGCAAATCTTTACCTTCATTAAACTTACACTCTAATTGGGAATGGGATGAGGAGGTAGACAATAATCACGCATAAATATTAAGTATGTTACATGGTAGTAAATGCTCTGGAAGAAAATAAAGCAGGATAATGAGAATAGAGCATGCTGGGAAAGGGGGGGAGTATGTTTTTGTTCACTTTATGCAGATTTTTCTTTGTGACAATTTTGTTCCTAGGTGAGTTATAAAAAGAAAGTATACTCTTAAAATAGTTTTAAAGGTCCTGTCTGCCTTTGGAAACTGTGTTAGTTGGCATTCATCTATTTATCCAGCAATTTTTTTTTTTTTTTTTTTTTTGAGATGGAGTTTTGGTTTTGTTGCCCAGGCTGCAGCGCAGTGGCACAATCTCAGCTCACTGCAACCTCCGCCTCCCTGGTTCAAGTGATTCTCTTGCCTCAGCCTCCTGAGTAGCTGGGATTATAGGTGTGTGCTGCCATGCCTGGCTAAATTTTGTATTTTTAGTAGAGATGGGGTTTCACCATGTTGGCCAGGCTGGCTTCGAACTCCTGACCTCAGGAGTACTGGCATTACAGACGTGAGCCACCACACGCGGCCTATCCAGCAAATATTTAAAGCACACTCAGCAAGCATATTGTTAATACCGTTTGCTAGGTACTATGTGCGACAAAAGAGATAAACGACATATTCTCTACCCTTGAGTTTAAAATCAGATTGGGAAAATATTTTTTATAATAATATTTTATGGTAACTGTAAGAGGGTCATTTATCCTTTTTCTTAAATGAAGGTAAGTGTAAAAACATTTTTAAAGCTTTGATGTTAGGTGACAAAACATTTCAATTTTGAACTGGGATCACTTGGCGGATTTATAATACTGACCCCTGAAAGGCAGTATTTTCTCTAGAGAATGTGATACCCTTCTTTGAAAAAAGAAGAATCTGCATTATAATGCATTGTTTCCAGGTGAGTGTAATTTAGCGAACCTATAAGTTTTCATCAATCATCATTGAATTGCTGTGTGTTTTATCTTTTAGTTTATGCAACAGTGACATATAGGACACTGTATAAAGTTTACTTTTTTCAAACCGTGAAATGTTGGCATAGTTAAGATTTGAGACGCATACTCTGTGATGTTCTTGACTCAGGGGGTCTTTGCTTAGCAGTGTGAGGGCTTGGCATATAAGTGCATTTATGTTTTTCTAGTGAAAGTTCAGTGTCTCATCTACAGTCCAGTCTCTTCTTGACCACTTTTATTAAAACAAAGGTGGTAATCATTGTGGATTCAGAAATTCCAGGAATATGTCTCAACTATGTTAGGTTTCATGGTGTCCTTCATTAACCAAATGTGTGAATCACCCTGAATTTAAGCAGTTACTAGTCAAATAGGCACTTAAGGGAGGTTTGATTTGAAATCACTTTTTTCTTCCCTTTCATCTTAAATACTAAAGAGAACATCCCAAGTCAGAGATTTTAGTTATCTTAAAACACTTTGAACTTTACTGGCTTAGAATGATTGGTTAAACACAATGAAACAAAAAATGCTGCAGAATAAAGTGTTCACACATTTCACTGTCAATGACTAACATTTGCTTAGAATTTTCTGTTAGGTCACAATATTGCAGATGTTTTTTGAGGAATTATGACTTGACCAAGGTCAGACATGTGTTAATTGAGCTTCCCCAGATTTGTCCTGATGGCCACAAACAAGTCTGTGGGAAGACAGCAGCAGCTTAATTTACCACCCACCTTACTGAATCATAAAACTCTAGAGCTAGATGGAACCCATAAAAAGACGCTGTAGCTTTGTGAGCATTCCAGCTTGGCCGCTGCTTCCCTTGCAGAAAAGAACATTGAGAGAGAATTCCAGGGACCACCCAAGAGGTCTTCAGTTCTTTCACTTTCTTTACAGCTTCAATGTTGTTACCACCCTTCCCTGTCCTGTACTCCAGTCCCTGTACGTAACAGCAACAAACCCTGATATGTAAAAAGTCCTTGAAAATTATTGAAATTAAAATTTTTTTCTCCTAAGTCTAGGCTTTAAATACCTAAACAATAGGGCTATGTTTTATAAAATTTATTTTGTAGAGTATTTAGATCCTTCTAGATTTTAACAAATATAGAATTGAAATAATGGGTTTTAAAAATTTATGTCAGGCCGGGCGTGGTGGCTCACGCCTGCAATCCCAGCACTTTGGGAGGCTGAGGCGGGCGGATTGCCTGAGGTCAGGAGTTCGAGACCAGCCTGGCCAACATGGTAAAACCCTGTCTCTACTAAAAATACAAAATTAGCCGGATGTAGTGGCAGGCGCCTGTAATCCCAGCTACTCGGGAGGCTGAGGCAGGAGAATTGCTTGAACCTGGGAGGCGGAGGTTGCAGTGAGCTGAGATCGCACCATTGCACTCCAGCCTGGGCAACAAGAGCAAAACTCCATCTCAAAAAAAAAAAAAAAAAAAAATTACCTCATTATAAAGGTATAAAAGTAACAAGCATTTATTGAGCTCTTACTGTTTCCAAGGTACAACACCGTATTTTTTAGACAAGTTTATACAAGTTGTCTGTATTCTCAGAAATACCATAGTCTAGATGGAGGCAAAATAACGCTGGGTGCAGTCTGCTGCTTAATCTTCAATATAAGAATATACTTGGAAAGCTTGTTAATAGATTCCAAAGCCTGTTTCCCTGGGATTTTAATGTCACTTGGAGTACCTCATAATTTATGAGTACTTCAAAATTATGAGTACCTCATAATTTTTACCCAGCTTTCACATCCTCTGTGATTCTGAAACCCCGTGAGTTTCCAAAGGCCCATACTTTGTTTAATACTGGTGTTACAAAGCAGACCAGAGTTTTCTGTTTCTAGCTCATTCATTTGTTATCTTTTTGGCCTTGAGAAAATTACATAATTCCTGTTACTTGATTTCTATATCTGTAAAGTGGAGATTATATTTGTCTACCTCATAAGAGTATTATGGAGGTGAATTATGTTATTGGAACACAAATTATCACTGAGTAATTGATAGCTACTGCCATTGTTGTCCTCATCTTTATCATACCACCACCACTACTTCCATTATCACTACATCATCATTCATCTTAGTGACAAGAAGGATGCACAAAATAGCGAACAATGTCAAGCAGCAGGTGTAGGAATGGCATAGACAATATCTGGTAGTTTAGAGATGCTCAAAATTTGGGCTGCAGTGGCCTGAGATGTTCATACAGGGAATGAAGAATGAAAAGGATTTAGCCATGTAAAGACAGAGTTGGAAGGAGAAGACTATTCCAACACAGAATTATTTCAAAATAACTTATTTTTGGTTTTTAAATTTTTACTGATGATTTACCTCAATTGTCTTCTGTTTATGTTAACTTAAAATAATTGGTGTGGTTCACCTAGGATCTCAAGTTTATTCAGGAAAATCAAATGTTCATGAAAGTGTGCATGTAATATGTGTTACTATGTTGTGAAGGTCACCAGTTTATGTTCACTCTTATTAATGTAAACACTTGATTATATTATGCTTCTAGCTACTATATGATTATAAAACTGAAATGGTTTTATAGGTTAAATATAATCAAAACTATAGCTGATAAAAATACAGATTAAGAGCATAATATTATATGCCACCTGATGTTTACTTGAACGCAGGTTTCTGTTCATAGCAAAAATTTGGTACTGACTTCTTAGAAACAAATCTGTTTAATTTTGGCTTGCCTGTTCTGTGGATGGTGTGATGACTCAAGTCTTCCACCATTTCCTCTTGTTTGAAATGCTGTAAAACTTTAGCATAACTTACTGTGGCTTCATTTGGCGTGAATGCATCGTTCTTTCTCTCTCTCTCCCTCTCTCTCATACACACACACATACACACTTATTTTTTGGTCTGTGTTCTCTTCTCATTAGCCTTGAGATTGTGTGGTGATACTCAGTTATGAGAAGATCATTCTGATGAGCACAAATAAGCATTAATTTTAAGCTTAAGGATTTTCTAGAGCCCCAATTTGAGAAACACTTATTTGCATGGTAGATATGAAGGGACCATAGCACTTAGTTCAGTTTCCTCATTAAACATCAAGAGACACAACAACAGCCAAAAGAATCTTTGAGGCCGGGTGCAGTGGCTCACGCCTGTAATCCCAGCACTTTGGAAGGCCGAGGCAGGTGGATCATGAGGTCAGAAATTCAAGACCAGCCTGGCCAAGATGGTGAAACTCCATCTCTACTAAAAATACAAAAATTAGCCGGGCATGGTGGCGGGTGCCTGTAATCCCAGCTACTCGGGAGGCTGAGGCAGAGAATTGTTTGAACCCAGGAGGCGGAGGTTGCAGTGAGCCGAGATCGTGCCACTGCACTCCAGCCTGGGCAACAGAGTGAGACTCTGTCCACCAAAAAAAAAAAAAAAAGGGAATCTTTGAAAAACAGCCCCACTTGAAGCAGCACAGTGGCTTCTGTGTATACTGAACATAGTTTCTGGATAACTCATCAAGGATCACAAAACTGATCAGCTAGCCTTTGTGTATCTGATTGACTTATACTAAAGTTTCTTCCTGCTTTAGGGACATGTACTTGCTCCTCTCCCTATTTGAATAGCTATTCCTTCATCTCACGAGCCTGGTTCCTTGATAGCATTAGGTCTTAGAACAAATACTACTTCCTTATATTATAGTGTGATCTTACCACTTGCTCCAGTTATCCTTTGCTGTGTAACAAACCACCCCAAATTTGGTGGCATAAAATGGCAACCATTTCATTATGTTCACAGGTTCTTTAGGTCAAGAATTTGGAAAGGGCATAATAGATATGGTTTGTTTCAGCACTGTGATGTCTCGACCTTCAGCTGGCAAAGCTAGTATAATTGAATGGCTGGGTGCCAAGATCATCTGGAGGCCTTTTTATTCACATTTGTGACTCATGTGAGGGCATGGATGAGCTAGGATTGTTGACTGGAGTCCCTACAAGTAGCCTTTCCATGTAACTTAGGCTTCCTTTCAGCATAGTGGCCTCAGAGGAGTTAGATTTATTACTCAGGACTTTCAGAGCGAGTGTTCCAGTGAATGAGATGGAAGCTTGCATGGCTTTTCTAACCTACCCATAGAGATTATGTGTTGTCACTTGCTTTTTTGTTTGTTTGTTTGTTTGAGACGGGGTCTCGCTCTGTTGCCTAGGCTGGAGTACAGTGGCACAATCTCAGCTCACTGCAACCTCTGCCTCCCAGGCTCAAGTGATTCTCCTGTCTCAGCCTCCCTAGTAGCTGGGGCTACAAGCACATGCCACCACACCCGGATAATTTTTTGTATTTTTAGTAGCGGCAGGGTTTCACAGTGTTAGCCAGGATGGTCTCCATCTCCTGACCTCGTGATCCGCCTGCCTCAGTCTCCCAAAGTGCTGGGGTTACAGGTGTGAGCCACTGCGCCCGGCCACATGGTGTTGCTTTCATCCTACTCCTTCCTTGAAGCAACCATAAATCCTATTTTTTAAGGGAAAGAAATACAGGCCTTACCTCTCAGTGGGAGGAGTGTCAGACACTTGGGGTCTTGTTTTAAAACTGGCGTATCATCGTAAATAGCATAACATGGTTAACATGGGTTAAAAGACATGTTGTCTTTTAGGTAAATAAGGTAAAAGACTTAATTGCATTTAACTTGCATTTAACAGGGGTTTGAATAATTTTATATAAGTAAAATTATTACTCTCTGCCTCTCTCAACTAAAATGAAAGTTTTATGAAAAATCTGTTCACTGCTGAATTTTCAGCCCCTATAATAGTGCCTAAGATATCATATCCATTCACTTGCTGAATGAATAGATACATGAATTAAAATTCAGCCACATAGCCAGTTTGCTTCACCGCTGAGACCGTCCTAGTACCCTGTTATATCACCAGGGTTCTCATAAAAATTTTCTTATTAATATGTAATATAAATTGTAAATTCAGCATTTCATTTCACTGAATCTGTATCTTTTTGTTCATAATGTGCTTTCTAAAATGAAATCGGGTGCCTTTGAAATTTAGTTCGTCTCTCAGTATACTGCTTCTACCTTAATGATTTATCATCCAACACTAATCATCCAGATTATGTTACTGCAAAACTAGTGTGAAGTACAATAATTTTGTTTTTGTGAATGAGTTATGAATCTACTCTGCCTGGGACAGTGGTTGCACTGGATGTATATCATCTAATATCAAAACTCAGTAGCAAAAAACAGTTTATTTTATTATGCCTATGGACTCTGTGGGTCAGAACTTAAGACAGGGCACAATAGGGACCAGTAGTTTTTGCTCCAGGATGTCTGAGGGCTCCACTGGAAGGGCTCCAAGACTGCAGTCTTTCTGTCAGGCTGGGGGCTGATTGCCTCGGGAGGTGTTTTTATTCACATAGCTGGTGGTCGATGCTGGTTTTTGGCTGAGATGTCAGCTGAGACAGTTGGCCAGAAGAACTACATGTGGCTGCTCCGTGTGGACTAGGTTTCCTCACAGCAGGGTGGTTGCACTCCAAAAGTGATCTTCCTGAGTGCAGATGTGGAGACTATCAGTTTCTTATGCTCTGGACTTGGAGACTAACATACAGTCACTTCGGCCATATTTTGTTTGTTGAGGCAGTTACAAAGAGCTACCCAGATCCAGGGGAGGGAATATTGATCCTATCACTTGATAGGAAGACTGATAGTGTCGCACTGTAAGAAAAGGCATGTAATATGGGATATATTGTGAGCTATCTTTGGAAAATATTGTTTGTCAGATGGGGCGAACTGTGGGCTCAGGGGCCTGCCTGCCTATATCTAGGGGCCTCACATGAGTTACCATGGTCCTAGAGCCCGTTAAGACCAGCTTCTGAGCAGAACCAAGAGTTACAGTACCAGCCTGGTCTACCGTCATGCTGAATTGAGCTCTTCTTCAGGCACAGGCTGTTTCCAGATTGTTAGCACTTCCTGTTGCTCCTCTTAACATTAAGAGTCCTACAGGTAGAAGAAAACTCAATATTGGACTTTTAGGCAATGTTGACTCACAGGGAAAGTGTTGCAAGAGAAAGTACTGTGTTTTGTGAGTACAGTTTGGAAATTTTAAACTCAAGTCTGCTCACATAGTAAAAAGAAAACAAACTCTGGTGAGATTGGTTCTCATTTTTTTGAACAGTGCTATTGGCTTTTACTAGTTGGAGATAATTGTGCCCATTCACTCATTTTCCTTCTATCGAATGGTCAAAGATTCTTCTCTTTATGCCTGGTGTTATCAGTAGTAAATCAAACTTATAGTTTTCAAATATTATTAGTTTTATTTTTTCCTAACAAGGGAATTGCAACTGTGCAGCAAGTGATACCGTTTCATTCCCTGCAGTTAGTCTGTTTTTCCTCTTTCTTCCTTTCCTCCCCTTCGCCTTCCTTTTTGTTTTTTTTTGAGACAGAGTCTCGCTTTGTCACCCAGGCTGGAGTGCAGTGTCGGCTCACTGCAGCCTCTGCCTCCCTGTTTCAAGTGATTCTCCTGCCTCAGTCTCCTGAATAACTGGGATTACAGGCACACACCACCACACCCGGCTAATTTTTGTATTTTTAGTAGAGACAGGGTTTCGCCATGTTGGCCAGTCTGGTCTCGAACTCCTGACCCCAAAGATCCACCCACCTCGGCCTCCCAAAGTGTTGGGATTACAGATGTGAGCCCCTGCACCCGACCTGTTTCTTCCCTTTCTTTTCACCTTGTAGCTCAGAATTAGCATATAGTGAAATTGCAAGGGAAAAAAAAAAGCAAGTAGAAAAGAGAAGAAAATCACATTTCCATGTGGAAATAGCATACTTAGTTTGAGTGTAGGACATTTACTCCAAATGCTAATGTTTTGTAGTATCCGATAATATTTTAAAAGAGATTTTGTGCTTTAGACTTAGAGAATGGTATTACAGTAGAGTTGCTGCAAAAATGACAAACTAATCCTCTGCCCAGTAATTTGAGTACATGTGGCAGGTCCCAGAGATGTGCCAGTAAAATAATGTGCTAGTATTTTATTTGGTACTGATTTTTTTTTTTTTTTTTTTTTTGAGACGAAGTATTGCTCTCTTGCCCAGGCTGGAGTGCAATGCCACGATCTCGGCTCACTGCAGTCTCTGCCTCTCAGGTTCAAGTGATTCTTCACCTGAGCCTCCTGAGTAGCTGGGATTACAGGCACCTGCCGTCATGACCTGCTAATTTTTTTTGTACTTTTGTAGAGACGGGGTTTCACAGTGTTGGCCAGGCTGATCTCGAACTCCTGACCTCAGGTGATCCGCCCGCCTTGGCCTCCCACAGTGTTGGGATTACAGGCATGAGCCACCGCACCTGGCGTTTTTCTTTTTTTTGAGATGGAGTTGCGCTCTGCCACCCAGGTTGGAGTGCAGTGGCGTGATCTCGGCTCACTGCAACCTCTGGCCACCTAGGCTCAAGTGATTCTCCCACCTTAGCCTTCTGAGTAAGCTGAGACTACAGGCGTGTGCCACCACTCCCAGCTAACTTTTTTGTATTTCTGGTAGAGATAAGGTTTTGCCATGTTGCCCAGGCTGGTCTTGAGCTCCTGAGCTGAAGCGATCTGCCTTCCTTGGCCTCCCAAAGTGCTGGGATTACAGGTGTGCCCAGCCTTGGTACTGCTATTTCTAAAATGTGATTGCAATGGGATTTTGAATGATACATGCACACAAAAACATATGTATATACATAAATGTGAAGGTTCTTTTTTAACCAGAACCTAAAACCTAGAGAGTTTCATCGTAACGTCTGTTAAAGATGACAGTTCTGGACATTGTGCCCAGCGTAATGCAGAGTTTATTTGATGAGGATTTGAGAAGGAAGTACCTTTAGTATCATTTGTACACAGTGTTGTGGCAGAGCTGTGAATTTTTTTCTGTTTTGCAAAGAGAAGTAAGCATACTTATGCTGGTTAATGGAGGTTGCCTTTCCAATTTGCTGTGCAACCTGGTGAACAGTTTGCGTGCTGAATCTTGATACAGCCTTTCCTCTGTTTAGTATTATAATATGTGCTTAGCTGGCACATACAATATGGATTATGTTTGATTATTTTGTGTATAATTTCCATAAATAAACAATCTCCTTTCCTTATAATCCTTCCTTTCTCTCCAAAATAAGCATTAGAATTGAACTAGTGGAACTTTAGACTGTCTTCTTCAGTGGTTCTCAACAGGAGAGATTTTTTACCCCCCAGAGGACATTTGGCAATGGTTGGAGACATTTTTTGGTTGTTGTAACTTCAGATTGTGAAGCCTGAAAACCAAGCCCACAATGTATACTTTTAAAATATACATGTATTTTTCTATGTTAACCTGCTTATAAAACTTTAATAAAACATACATTGTTCAAAGCTTTTTCATGTGTGTTTAAGTGAAAATGTCACTTTGAACATAAGATATACTTGTTCCTTCCTGTTTATTTTTCTAGTTAATTCTTAGCTTGCTCAGTTTTAAGGTTTTTTTTTTTTAAATGGCTTAGATACTTGTTCAGAGCTTATATTGTACAATAATCCACATATATTCAACACCTACAGGCTGTTAGAGGACTGCATGCAGCTACTTACTGAATGCCAGTATTGCTTGCATTGTCTGTTGTAGAACTTCTGTAGTCACTAAATTATCAGTCCCCATACAGTACATCACAGGAAGTTGGCAGATACAATGATCCATCTGTTATCACACCCATCAAGTGCATTGGCTTGAAGGGAAAAGGCTGCAGATTGGAGCTCAGTGTGTGAGAGAAGTGAGATTCCAAGATGCTTATCATTCTTTCCAGAAAGTCCTTTTTGGCCTTTTGTCAAGCTTGACTTGCTCATTTCTAAAACAGCCTTTCAGTTTATGATACCGTTACCTTTTCATTAATATTTTTGGAAAAACTAGACATGTTGTCAGAGATGCTTATTTTTCTTGAATGAGGTTTTAGGGTATCAGCTTTTCTTTCCCCTCCTAGCGGGTGGCTGTGGGGAATTCTTGGTCAGATTGTCATAGAAAATGAGCAGTGGAAAATTGAAGCTGCACAATCTGGAGAGTTTTATTTTTAAAATAGTCATTCTTAACCTGAACTAAAGTAAAGCAAGTATAAAACATTTTTATGTTATTCCAGTGTGGCCAAGATTTTTTTTCTTAAATTTATACAAGTATGATCACTTTCAAAGGAGAGTATGATTTTCATAGTTAATCAAAAATGTTTAGGCAGTTTTTTGTGAGTTTAAGAAACCTGTTGGTTTCCTGGAAAGTCATGAATGTTTATGATATCAAGGGTCTGTTATAGAGCCTCTGAGATCTTTTAGACAAAAGCATTGATGCTGTTCTTAATGGCACTTTGAAGTTTTGGTGACTACTCTTGAGGTAAATGGATATGTGCTGATCATTTCATTCTTTCTTTCTTTCTTTCTTTCTTTTTTTTTTTTTTGAGACTGAGTCTCACTCTGTTGCCCAGGCTGGAGTGCCGTGGCACGATCTCGGCTCACTACAACCTCCACCTCCCTGTTTCAAGTGATTCTCCTGCCTCAGCCTCCAGAGTAGCTGAGACTACAGGCACGCGCCACCATGTACAGCTAATTTTTGTATTTTTAGTAGAGATGGGGTTTCACTATGTTGGCCAGGCTGGTCTCGAACTCCTGACCTTGGGTGATCCGCCCACCTTGGCCTCCCAGAGTGCTGGGATTACAGGCGTGAGCCACCGTGCCCGGCCTGTGCTGATCATTTCTATCTTGTGAATAGTCTTATTTATACAGAGCTGCTCCCTTGCCAAGGCGTAATGTCTGGTTTGGGTAGGCAAAAATCCACTCCCAAATTAGTGTCTGTGTGTTATATGTCTTTGATTTAATTTACGTTCACCTCCAAAGGGGCAAAATGGCTAGAGAAAAAATAAACAGGACAGTGTATGACTAATTGAAAGTTAAAAAGGGCCTTGCTTTTTCTAGACTGAAGGATACAAAATGAATACGAATAGTGAATAGTTGTCTAGCTGATTTAAAAGAGCCATTGTATTTCAGTTTCTTCTCTCTTCACCTTCATTTTAATAACTCTCCTGAAAATGGGATTTTTAGTAATCTGTCTCAGAGTATAATATTTGGGTTATCCTCAAATAGATGATAAATATTTTTATCCACCTGCCTCGGCCTCCCAAAGTGCTGGGATTACAGGCATGAGCCACCATGCCCAGCCTTGAGTTATACTTTATTAAAAATAATTCTGTTTTAAAAATTGGTGAGAAACAATCACAAAAATATGGTGTATGAATAAGCCAGAGATACTTGAGAATAATTATATGGAAGCTGATTTTCCAGGAAGAAAATAATATAAAATTACTAAAACGTCCACAAAAATGCTGCTACAGCATTTTTCCACTTTTATTTTTTTTTGCATTATGTTCCCCCTCATTCTTCAAGGGAAAATAAAAGATTCCTCAACCTTTGTAGATGTGGCTTATGATAAATACTGTAGGGACCTTAGCTCATTGTACCTAATAGAATGGAACATGGAACACATATGCCCTATTCTTGTTTACATGCACTTACATCAATATGTAATATGAATTTAATTTAATATCACTCCATAACTGTGTAACTTTATTTTGTTATTTCAGATATAATGAACACGACTGATAGGACATTGTAAATTTATAGTGATTAAGAGCTATCATCTGTAGTAATAGCCTATAGAGTTGATAAGTAGAATGAATTATGCATAGGAAAGAGAATAAAGAGTTAATTCCATTTCTAAATGTTTCTTATTGGGATAGAAGTTTTATAAGTTAAAGTTGCCTGATTTTAAAACATTAAACTCTTAGGAGACCCACTTCATGACAGTAACTACTTTACATTGTGAGTTTATTGTGGTATTTTAATTTATTTTCTTGTTTTTTTTTTTCCTCAAGAATACCCTTCATTAGTCATTCTAATCTTGTTGATTATCAAGGGTTCAAGTAAGAGCCTTCAATTGTCAGTAGGAAGAAAAGCTAAGCCTTTTATAAACGTGTCTGTTTGGCTATTTTGCGTAGTATAAAAATCCTTAGAATCATATTAGGTTGCATTTTGCTCCACTTTGAATGTTTTCCTCAGGGTCACAATGTTTTTCTCTGTGGAAGGTTCTTTGCAGTATAGTAAGCACACAAGGATTGACATTGCCCTTGTACATATCGTGCTGACATTCTTCTTTGTGGGTGAGAAGACAAGTAGTAAATGAATAATTTCTTACAGTTGTCTGCTACAAAGCAATAGATGAGAAAGTGACTGACTGGGACAGGACTACTTTCCATTAGAGGGTCAGGTAGGGAATGCCGCTTGGAGGAGACAGCCAGATACAGGAAAAGGAAGTCAGATGTCTTGAGCTCACTTTGTTGGAAAAAAGAAGGCCAGTGCTGTTGAAATGAGTACACAGAGGGTGTTGGAAGAGGTAGACAGAGGTTTGATCAGGTGGAGCCTTGTAGGCCATGGTAAGGAGCTTATTAAATAGATTATTAATTCCATGAGAAGCCATTAAAATAAGGCTTTAAGAGGCAGGATGCTACGATGTGACTTAAGGTTTGAAAAAGATTACTTTGGCTCTCATGAATAATGGACTTCAGGTGCTTTGAGTGAAAGCAGGGAGACTAGTTTAAAAAGCTTTGCTTCTTGATGAAGCTGGATTGTAAAAGAAACGGGATGACAATTTCTGTACTTTACAAAGTGTTAGTATATCTTCTGTCCAAACAGCTGTTTTATGTTTACTGTTTCTTTAGGTTATTTTCTTTATCATCTGAACTGCTGAGTTATTCTGAGTGGGTAATATTGCCTTTGAATATATCTATATTTTAGTTAGAGTAGTAACTGTTTAACGGACTACATAGGGGTACTTATATTTAAAATTTAGTATAAAAAGTTTGGGTAAAGATTTATAGTAATTATAATTTTTGTTTATTCCATTACAGATATTTAAGCACACATCTGAAAAGTTGAGATCATGATGTATATACAGTTGAACTTTTAACCTATTATCTCATATGTATTTTTCGTTTTTGAATCGGAATTGAAAAAATGTTTTTAAATTATGAGTTATAACAAACAAAATTTCATACAAAAGAAATGAATTATTATATAACAGATCTAATATAGCTCCCAAGAAATACTACAGGCAACCAAAAATCTTTCTGAGAGCTCCATCACTATCAAAACTCTGTCTTTTAAAGTGATAAAGTAACTTTTATTGTTATGCTTTTTAATAGCTGGTATTTAAACTATGGAAAGAAGAATTAATATACTCAAGCACCAGTTGACAAACTATTGATAGCCTATGTTTCAAAAGATAATTTGTAAGTTAATTATTTGGAAAATATATATATTTTTTAACCTATGAAAAATCTATTCTGAATGGTGGGTAGATTCTAAGGCCTGCCTATCAAACTGATTTAGTCTGTAATGCTTGACCAGTGTTGGTTTGGGTCCTGGGTTTTGTAACTAGAAGGGGTAGATTGGTTAGGACTTCACTTTATAAACATTTAAAATCCTCAGAATCTGTCTTGGAAGGCTTTCCCACATTCTAGTGCAGTTTGTTAGAATTATGCAATATGAGTGGGAAAGAATCTCAAAGAAAGTAAAGATAACTATAAAAGAAGCAACAGAGCCAGTGAAGTGTTAGCATTGCCCAGTGGCTCAGGCTTTTTGGGTTTTTGGTTTGATTTATTCTTTCAACTTTTCTGGTAATTTGCAAATTCTATCCTCTTTGCAAACTCTTTGTATTTATTTGTAATACCTTTTCAAGTGAGCTCTCTGTAGAACTTCCTAAGTTATAATGGCTAAAACTACAACTGGATAAAACTGCAGCTGTCCTGGTTGAGACTGGAGATGGAAAGGGCCAGAGGGACTCACTGGGGCTCTTGCACAGGACTCTAGTACTCCAAGGACCACAGGAAGAAACCACTGCACCTTGTGTTATGGGAGCCGCCCAGGCCTGCCCTACTCCAGACTGTGCCCTATCCAAAACAACGGTGTTACTTAACTTTGCAACCAAAATGCCATTCTAGCCAGATTTCGAAAGAACATAGGATTGAACTCATTCACACCACTGCGACTGTAAATAACTGACCTTTATTTCCTAAAGGACTTGCAGTTTTCATATTGACTTGTTAATGCAAAGGAATCTTGTAGAGTTGAAACACCAACATGAAGTAAAAATATTGGCAGTGTTGGTGTGTTTAGGTCATTTATAAATTTTTTGCTTATGAGTTGGAAACTTCTTGGCTTAAGTTTTGGATAATGACAACTTTTCCTGGATATATTTTAACTTAAAAGTTTTGAGAAACTTTTATTGCTTTCCAATAGGTTGTTTTTGCATTCATAAACAAATTAATTTTGAAGACACAAGGGGAGAATTGTACATTCTGTCTTTTAAAAGTTGAGAATAATAATTTGTGATTCTATTAAGAGCCAGATAATTGTAACAGAAATTCATATGTAAACCATAGTTGTTTATGAAAGTAAAATGTTCTGATTACTAAGAATACATTTAAACTGAAATGTTTTTAAAATAAAAATTTTTAATGTGTGGTGACATGTTTTATACTGATGATTAACTTTGTCTTTTCCAAAAAGAAGACAAACAGGGAAAGTATGCAGAAGTAATTTGATTAGTTTTGGGGGAGTCATGACTTCACACAGTACAGAAAACCAAAATAAGAGAGACATGGATTGGGCACCGACAGTAGAAATTGTATAGATGTTATCTTCTGTAATAAGACTCATTGTTTGATTTCAGATGATGAAAATTTTAAGCTTGTGTAATTCTAAAATTGTGTGGGACACATAAAAACTTCTCTTCAAAATACACTGTGTTTAAGTGCACATTAGTGTTCAGTGGTCCATTTATAGACATATCAGAGTTAGGCTACACATTTTCTAGTTTCTAACCTGCTGTGGTAGCACAGGTCAGAAAACTCTAAAATCCTACTATTTAAAATTATTAAAGCATTTTGCTGTTTTACAAAAATTTGTTTGTTGTATGTACATAACCGTTTGCATTGATTGATTGATTGATTGAGATGGGATCACACTGTAGTGCCCAGGCTGGCCTTGAATTTCCGGGCTCATGTGTCCTCCCACCTCAGCAGCCTGAATAGCTGGGATTATGGGCTCCTGCCACATTGCCTGGCTACATAATTATTTTTTGAAAAGCTATTACAGGTTTCAAAGTTTTGTGAACCAGACTTAACTTTTTTTTATTATTGGTTAGTTTTCTTTTCTGTCTTAACAAATTTTCACATGTGCAAATTGTTTTATTTTGTAGCACATTCTTAGTGTAAAAATCAATAGTGTTGTAGAAAGCTTAAAAAAGAGACTTTTTAATTGCTTAATTGTACAGACTGCTAACTTTGAAAAAGTATTTTCCAATATTTTGGTTTAACTATGATCTTTCAATTTATGACAAATATTTTTTTCCTGTCAACTACCAAATTCTCTATAAACTACAACCCAGCAACACACATGTGTAAACCAACAGAAGATTGCATTTGTGTGTATGGAAAGGTGGTTCACTTTTTAAAATTCCTTAAGAAAACTGACTTTATATGTTGTCAGTATAATGTGGCTTATGACTTTTTTCTAATTTAAATTAGGGCCTTTATATTTACAGTTAAAACCTTCACCAGGTGCAGGGATTGATGGGCGTTAAGTGAAATGATAGACTGATCTAATTATTCTACATTCTTGTTTTTAACCAAAGTTACATTTTATAAACTGTGGTATAGTAGAAAGCAGTTTTTTTTCTGTCTTGGAGTAGCATTTTATATTAAGGAAAACAAATTATTATCTAGTAAAAGTAGATAACAAAGTGAAGAGAACAAATTATTTTGTTGTAAGATAATGGAAAAAAGGATACTACTGTTGAATTTTCTAGTCCTATAGTGAAAGAAGTGGAAAGAAGGTAGACCAATAGTCATTACTGTTTCAGTGACAAAAATAATTTTGTAATTTCTGCCTCCAAAAAATTGGATTTATAGAATGAATTTCTGTAAGAGTCTTTCTGCAATATTTGCCATAGACTGTCAAGCTGAAATAAAAGCCAAGGTACCCATCAGGTCTCAAGGAGATGGCACTGAGTTTGGTCTAAAGAAACCTTTGTGCACCAAGTCTTCACAGTAGTCAGTCAGTCTCTGTCTCTCTCTGTCTCTCTCTGTCTCTCTCTGTCTCTGTCTCTCTCTCTCTCTCTCTCTCTCTCTCGTCTTTCTCTCTCTCTCTGCAGATGTTATTTTTGCTACATTTGCTATTTTAACCTGTCAGTTAAAAAATAATTACTATGTCAGTATGGCTGGCAGCTCATATAGGAAAAATATGCTGTCTCTTAATCAAAGGTGATTACAGTTTTCCCCTGTCTATAAATGTGCTTGTTGTGTAACGAGAATGCATTAGTCTCAGCCTGATGTACGAAATGAAAGGCAGTAAGAAGCAGCACCATTGTTATCACTCCAGGCGTGTCTAATGAATCGTGTTTCCATGTTCTCTCGGTCACGCCGTAGAGTGCCCTCAGCCAGGGCTAAGCCTCCTGTAAAATGCTCTTTAAGATTATTGTAGCAAGAACAGAAATGCTGCATGGCTGGGGGTGGGGAGAGAATGCCAACGAGACAGCTGCATTTCAAACAGTTACAGCTGCAAGGATTACTCATAGTAATAGCAGTGACAGACAACTGTTTGAGCTTTAGTGTAAAAGGCAATTTGGGGACTTGCCCTGTCAGAATTTTAGTAGCAAGCTTCTGTGTGCACGTGTGTGTGCATGTGCGTGTGTTTTTTATTCAAATTAGTTTGTGTCTGAAGAGTGGAAGGAAATATTTTAAATTTTTACTTCTCAATTGTGCTAATGTTGAAATCAGTAGTTGACTCATCTTTATTAAAATCATTGTCCTAGAGGAAGTTTATAAAATGTTTATTTGTAGCAATGATGAATTTAAATGTATATGTTCTAACTGAATCACATGTCTGCTTTTCCGTCTCAAAATTTATCTTGTGATGATTCCTGTTTTAAAAATATTGGTTTTCCTTGTAATTTCTGAACATACAGCCTTGTTTAATATAGGATCCTTATTTTAAAAATTTATTTCAAATATGATGTAAGCTTATAAAAGTAATGCCTGTCATGAAATCTGGAAAATACTCAAAGAGGTAAAGGAGAAAACAATCATTATTCTAGCAGAGATAACTGTTAATTTTAATCCTTCTGGACCCTTGTTTATGCATTCTAGAGCATATTAAGAGCATGTTAATCATTTTAAAGGTTAAAAATGGTAATCATTTTAAAAAATATTTGGAAGAAGTAGCAAATGGGGACAAATTTGGTTTTGAGAAGTCAATAACAGCCATTGTGCAAGATTTCTTTTTCAGTGTGCAGCTATTAAAGTAACATTGCAGCCTGTTTTCTGTAGCAGTTGTCTTTTGAAGGCCTTGTACAGTTTATCTCGAAATTTAGTTTTATGGTTTCCTTCAATTTAAAGTTTGCTGGCTTTACAGGGAGTCTTGTGATCCATTGAAATGCTAACTTGGGTCGTGTCTCAACTGCTACAATGCTGTGTAGAAACTGTCATTAAAATTCTGGTTATCCTGCAACTGGCAGAGAACCCATGCTGATTCCTTAGGAAGATAGTACACTGTTAAAATTTTGAATCGCAATTGTGCTTCTGTCTGCCAAATATTATCAATATTTGTAATCACTTAAGGTTGCAAATAGTTTGAAATAAATGGAACGTTTTAGTATGTATCTTCTATCCATGATTCTTATTTGTTTGATGAATTGACATCGGGAAGGTTACAATCCATTTCCAACATAGATTTGTTAAGTGATACTGAATATTTTACACTCATGAGCAATTCAAGAAATCAGAGCTCTAAATAGGTTGAAGTTGATATAAGTAATAAGTCCATTTAGTTATTAATGACTTCAAATATAGATTCTACCAGGCAACTGATGGCAGCATAAATTGATCAGTCAGTGGTGGTGTAGTGTTGTAAGTCATTGGATTTTTTTATGTGTGAAGTGCTATATTTCATAATTAATGTAGCATTGTGCTCCTTTGTTACTGAGTTTCTTTGGTAAGTCAGTTTTTAAGAAAGCAGATACTTCAAAATCGTTTATTTATCTTGGTATCCTTCATTTGCTGCAGTTAGATTAAGTGGATACATGTTTCCTTGTTGTAATATCTGATTAGTGTAGTTTTTGGAAGTAGATTTAATAATTCAGAAGATTTTTTTTTTTAAACACTACGATGCGTTTTATATGTTTGAGGTAGAAATTGAAAACAAAGGCAGTGGGCAAATGATAAACCTTGGATTCAGAGCTATGCTATCTTTAGCCGTTAGTTACTGAAATCTAACTGGGAAACAATGTACTTGTTTCCTGTGCCTTCCTTTACTTGTGTTTCTGGAGTTTCGAGTGAAATTTGATTTTCAACAATTTTAACGGCTGAATAAGAAGTGCCATCCCTGAAAGTGCCCTTCCCCCACCTCCAATATTTGCAGTGGCCAATGCCGTTGCTGAACTCAATGTTCTGGATAATAGGTTTCATTAGTTTTGATGCCTGAGGTAAAAAAGCAGTAGGTGGGAGTAAGAAGTGTTTTTGATGTCTAGACGTTCATTTCAGCTGTTGCTGCAATATGATACATTAAAAGGAAATATGTATCATAGCTCAGAGGAAATATGTATTCTTTGAAAGTAATTCTACTTTTAAACTGTGTAAGGCTGGGTGACCTGAATTCTAAAAGCATGAGCTTGAATTTCTTCAAGGTTTCACAATCTTTATGCTCCTCCCTACCCTATTCCATTCTCCCTCCTCCCATTTTTTTTTCCCCTTCAAGTAAAGTATGTCAGTTTCATTTATGGAATTGGAAGGGATATCTTTCCAAGATCTCTGCTGGAAAACACAAAATCATTGAAGTATATGCTGCTTTGATATTTTGCCATATTGACTTTTTTTCTCCCTGAACCTTTTCTATGTTTTTTCTTTCAAATAAGCTTATTAATTCTGTAAGGAGTCATGTTTGGTGAAGTTGAAAGAAGTTATATTGCAATTGATGGGGATTTGAAAAATTATTTGGGCACTAAGCAGTAATTACTACTATTTAAAACTTTTCCTTTATAAACACTGTCTTTTCTGTTAAAAAACATTTATATACTACTTTTGCAGTTTAAATATTTGATTATGAGGATAACTGTATTAAAAAAGGTTGAATAACAGCAACGTAAACACATTCTGATTATAGCTTTTATAATTTAAGTGAGATAACTTTAGTGCCAAAATAGTTTTTCTTTGTAAATAGGCAGCTGTAGTAGTACTTAGTTTTAGTTTTTAATCTGGCTGTAATAGACAAAATAACAGCAGGAGAATGTTTTAATTTAGAAATTCCTTGTTTTGATTGACTGTTGTCACTCATTTATTTTACATGCATTTTAGATCTCTTGGTTCTTTTGAGACCAACAAAATTTTAGGAAAATTCTCCCATTATGCATAATTAGACTTATAAACATAGTCTATAGAGATAGTCTTTTTGCTACTTTATATTCTTAAGGTATTATAAGCATTTAAATAGAAACTGGAAAGATCAAAAGAATTAGAAAGGCTTTTTTTCCTGTTTTTTATTTTTTTTTCTTTTGGAATGGAGACAGCATGCCGTGGAGAGATTGTAGGTTTCATAAAGATAGGACTTTCTTATAGACTTTTTGGTAGTCGTTTTTCTTCTCAGTCTACCTTGAAAGGGAGAATGCATTTCATTTGTAGAAACGTAGGCTAACTACTCTGTCCCTCTTTATGTATTTTCCCCTGAAGAAAATCTTACTCTGTGTGTGTGTGTGTGTGTGTGTGTGTGTGTGTGTGTGTGTGTGAGAGAGAGAGAGAGAGAGAGAGAGAGAGAGAGAGAGAAAGAGAGATTATTTAAAGAAGCCAAAATGTGGTTTTGTCTGACTTAGCCTTTGAAAAAGTTAACATGTAACTAGAACACATTAATTTTAGGTCCAAATTTTGGAACCAAAGGAAAATTTAACTTCAGTGTTAACATTGCCTTTCTACCCAGTGCTAAGAATAAAAGAATGGTTAAAGAAGGGTTGAGTGAGTGGATTTGCTTAACACTAAGTGTTGTGTAGGGGAAAGAGCATGGGTGTCAGAGTCAGAACATTTGGATATGAATCCCATCTGTACCACTAATCCTCTTTAAGTAGATGTGAGGAAATTTTAGATTGGTGCTAATTTCAATGACATTTTGAAATATACATAATCAAGTCAACTCTATGCATGTTTATGAATATCCGAGAAGTTCTAGCCACAGCAGCTATGAAAATAAATTGCTTCCCCTTGAGGAATTCAGTTAATGGAATGATTAATATATTTATTATTTGTAACAGTAGGTGTAAAAGCATTTGATCCCTGTATGCTGCTGACTGTAGCTCAGTTTGACTACAAATTCTTAAGACTTCTTAGTTATGTGACTTTGGACAAGTTTCATATATATATATATATATATATATTTTTTTTTTTTTTTTTTTTTTTTTTTTTTAAAGATATGGGGTCTTTCTCTCTTGCCTAGGCTGGAGTACAGTGGCATGCCATCATAGCTTACTGCAGCCTCAAACTCTTTGACTCAAGTGAGCCTTCTGCCTCAGCCTCCCAGGAAGCTAGGACTGCAGGCCCGTGCCACCAAATTCAGCTAAGTTTTTAAAGTTTTTTTAAGAGCTGGAGCCTTGCAATCCTACCACTTGATCTTCCAAAGTGATAGGATTACAGGTGTAAGGCACTGTGCCTTCTTAAGATTAAGTGTTAGTTTTCTCATGTATAAAATGGAGATTAGAATCAACTGTATTCATCAGAGTTCTTAGCTTCAAACTAAGAAAAGGAGTTGATTAAAAGAATATTGGGTATCCAACTATTTGGCACTTTTACAATCGGCGCTACAGAACTGGTTCAATGAGAAAGGTACTGCTAGCTACCACCAAGCACTAGATGCTGTGGTACCTCTGCTACTTTAGCACCAAAAACTTGATCTTGAAGCCTCTGTTCCTAGAGCTGTCAGAAAGATATCTCCATCGGCTTTCTTTTTGTCCCTGGATTCAGAGTCAAAGGTGTCGACCAGGAGCATCTGGTAGGGGTTAGAATGTATGTCCTTGTCCACACTGTAGGGGAGGATGGAAAAGAGAGAATCAGTATTTTTAGTTTCCGTTAGGGGTGATTATATTTGATCCCAATTAGGACTCTTAATGATAGTGATAATGAAGAAGCCCGACACTGAGTGACAGAAGTGTGCCAGATGTCTCATAGTGTGGTGGTGAGTAGTCTCCCCACCTCCCCATTTATATGTAGTGCCTAATTCAAAGCTTGGCACATAAAATAAAACAAGAATGATTGTTTTCTGGATAGAAAACCAACCTTGATTATATGTTATTTAATTGTTAATTTAAAATTTAAGACATTTTATGCTAGTAGCTATTCTGCAAAGTTTCAAAATAATTTTTGCTTCCGAGTGGTTTGCACATACATGTGTTAGCTTTTTGAGAGCATTCCTAGTTCTTAGCCTGGTGCTTGACACATAACACGGTCAAGTAGTGTTGTCTAGTTAATGTTGATCAAATTATCTGTTATTAGATTCCAAGCATGTCTTTGCAGATTTAACTTATTTTGAAATTTTAGGGATTTATTGAAACATATGCTGCTCCTGTATTTCTGGAAACTCTGATCATGAGAAAAAAAGGATGGTCTGATTTACATTCTGTTTGACAAATGCATTTGTTAGTGATAGTAAATTGAAAGGGTCAGCAAATTAATGCATTATCCTTAATTTCATAGCCTAAATTGATAGTATTTATTAGAGTGGTTATTGGCTTATAATTTTTTATGATAAATTGATTATTCTTGAATCTTTAGTATGTAATTTTCAATGCAATATCTAAGACATAGGAAATTTAAATCCAAACACTGAATGCTTTTTAAATTATCTACTGATTTATATTTAAATTTTGTTTGTTAACTTATAATTTATAATTTTCTATTGTTTTCTAAGCTTTAGTACACTTTCCTTAGACAAGGGCTTAATATAGTATGATTTGTTTTATTTTGTATTACTACTTTCCTATTTTATATTAACTTAGTGCCCAAACTTTATGTTAATTTATGTTATATACTTACAGAATATAAAAGAACAGATGAGAATGACCATATAATTATTTTTCAAAATAATTTTTAGCATTTAAAAAATAAAAATTTTGACTGCGTGCAGTGGCTGACACCTGTAATCCCAGCACTTTGGGAGTCTGAGGCAGAAGGATCACTTGAGCTCAGGGATTCAAGAGCAGCCTGGGCAACATGGTAAGACCCCATCTCTACAAAAAAATTAAAAAGTAACTGGGCATGGTGGCCTATGCCTGTAACTCCCAGAAAGTGGGGAGACTTAGGTAGGAGGATTGCTTGAGGCTGGGAGGTCGAGGCTGCAGTGAGCTGTGATCATGTAACTGCACTCTAGCCTGGGTGAAAGAGCGAGACCCTGTCTCAAAAAATTAAAAAAATGCCTTAAGATGTTTATATTTTGTTACATTTGCATTATATACAGTGTTTGATATGAAGTGAAGAATATAACTGGTACATTGGGCTCTAGGAACAGTTACTTCAGTCTGAATTTCCTTGTTAATTACTCAAACTTTTTTTTTTTGTTTTTAATACTTTATGAATGGAGGTTAATCACATAAATACCATATCTTTTGGATTTAGAGAATGCTTTTTATATATAAATTTAGAGTAGGAGTCCTTTTGATTACAATACTAAGAAAATAAAGAGGTCAATATTAGCATATTCATGATGGCTTAAGTCTAGAAACTTGGCCCAATGGTAAAATGAGTTTTCGTAATTTAGAACAGTAAAAGATTGTGAGTAAAGTTTACCATATTTAGTAAATAATACATTATTTAGTAAATAATATTTCTGCGCGTTTGCACAAATGTATGCAGGTATGTAACTGCCACTATAATCAAGATATAGAGTGGGGGGCATCACCCCTCAAATTTCCGGTGTCCCTTTGGTATCAACCTGTCTCACCACCTCCATCCCTGGAAACCATTGAGAAGTTTACAGTACCTTAAATTTGCCTTTTGCGAGAATGACATATGAATGAATCATACAGCACATAGTCTGAGTATGGCTTCTTTTTACTTAGCATAATGAGATTCATCCATATTTTTTCTTGTATTGGAAGTTCCTTTTTATTTCTGAGTAGTAGCCCATTGTATAGATATTTCATTGTTTTTCCCACTGTTGAGAGACATTTGGATGGTTTCCAGTTTTTGGCATTTACAAATACAACTACTATATACATTTGCTGTAGTTTGTTTTGTGTTGTGAGAGTACAGTAGGAGAAAAAGAGTTCGTTTTTTCCTAGAACCTTACATCCTCCAAACTTGAGTATATACCTAGAAGGATGTAAGGTTCTAGGGAAAAACAAACTCTTTTTCTCATGTACTCTCACAACACAAAACACTTCTGTGACCAAATGTTGCAGAGGTGGAGAGCAGGTGTTTCCCCTACATCAGGTAATTAATCAGTTTTGCAGGGGACACCAGCTGGGTGTCCTCTAATTCAATTCAATTCTGACACTGTCTACCTGGGGATAGCATCCCATCTTACAGGTTGAGGGCTTAGTCCCACAGGACTGTGGGACTTCAGATGCCAGGAGTAAGTCTGGACCTCCAAAGCTTCTGACCAATTGGCTATAAATCTGGGGTTCCCACAGCCCCCTCCTTGGGTTCTGTTAATTTGCTAGAATGGCTCACAGAACTCAGGGGAAAACTTTACTTATGTTTACTGGTTTATTACAAAGGGTACAGAGAACAGCCAAATGGAAGAGATGCATAGGGCAGGTTATGTAGAGAGGGGCAGGAGCTTCCATGCCTTCTCTGAGTGCGCCACCCTCCAAGAACCTCCATGTGTCCAGTTATTTTGAAGCTCTCAGAACTCAGTCTTTTTGGGTTTTTATGAAAGCTTCGTTATATAATCATGTAGGTTTGATTCATTAAATCATTGTTAATTGTCCATTAGTGATCAACTCAACTTTCAGCGCTTCTCCCTAGAAGTCAGGGTGGGGGTTGGGGAATAGGGGGCTGAGATAGAAAGTTCTAACCCTCTGGTCACATGATTATTTCCCTGATAATCAGCCCTCATCCTGAGGCTATCTAGGCCACCTGTCATTTCTTTAGCCACTAGTGTACAAAAACCATTCTTAGCCCTCTAGACATTTCAAGGATTTTAGGAGCTGTATGTCAGGAAACAGGACCAAATATGTGTTTCACAATATTACGACGGGATATTGTCATATTACAACGGGATATTGGGTTGTATGGTAAATGTATGTTTAACTTTACAAAATATCGCCAAAGGCAACTTTTCCAAAGTGGCTGTGCTGTTTTTGCATTCCAACCAGCAGTATATGACAGTTCTGGCTACTGTATTCTATATGTTAATCAGCACGTAGAATTGTCAGTTTTTCTTTTAAGCCATTTTAATGGATAATGAAGTTTCATTGTGATTTTAATTTACATTTCCCTAATGACTAATGAGGTGTTGAGCACTTTTTCATATACTTATTTGCTATTCATCTAGTCTTACTTGGTGAACCGTCTGTTCAAATCTTTTGCCCATTTAAAAAATTGTTTTTTTTTGGTAGTTAAGTTTTGAGATTAAAAAAAAAAGTAACGTATTCTGAATACAAGTCCTTGTCAGATATGTGATTTGTAACTGTTTATTCCCCATCTGTGGCATGTCTTTTCCATAGCTTAACATAACTTTCCCATATTTTTTGAAGAGCCAAAGTTCTTCATTTTGATGAAACTCTGTTTATCAGTTTTTCTTTTATGGATCATGCTTTTGGTGTCATATCTAAGAAATCTTTGCCTACCCTAAGCTCCCAAAATTTATCTCCTATGTATTTTTAGAAATACTAGATTTAGGTTTTGCGTTCAGGTCTGTGATCTCATTTTGAGTTACTTTTTCTATATGGTTTGAGGTTCTTTTTCTTTTCTTCCTTTACTGAATTGACTGAATTGCCTTGGCACCTTTGTTGAATTAAAAAAAATGAATTTGTGGCTCAATTTTTGAACTCAGTTCTATTGATGTGTATCCTTTCTACAGTACTGTGCTGGCTTGCTTGCTCTATCCTAATTCATACTAAACCTAGAACTCGGTTGACGTAAGTATTTCTGTATTTTTCTTTTACCACATTGTTCTGGTGGTTCTAGTTCCTTTGTCTTTTCATATAAATATATAGACTCAGCTCAGCTATTTCTATAAAACATCCTGCAGGGATTTTTATTAGAATTGAGTTGATTCTGTAGTTTGTTTTGAGAAGAATTGGCATCAAGAATTTTTCTATTTTGTGGTCAATTTATTTATCTTTTTTATTTCGTTTGTTAGTATTGTAGTTTTAGCATATTTTGTAAGATTTATACCCAAGGATTTTATGGGTTTTGGTGCTACTGTAAATGGTACTTTAAAAAATTTCAGTTTCTAATTATTTATTCCTAAATATAGAAATGTGATAGTTTTTTGTCTGTTGACCTTGTATTCAGTGATTTGGCTAAACTCAGTTTTAGTTCTAGTAGATTTTTTCTGTTAATTCTTTAGGATTTTCTGATAGACAGTCGTGTCATATGTAAATAGAGACGATTATTTCTTCTTTCTTGCCCTATTGTATTGGATGAAATTCAGGTATAATGTGGAATAGGAGTAGTGAGAGCAGACATCCTTACCGTTCGTTCAGTCTTTTGCCACTAAGTATGATGTTAATTGTAGGTTTTGGTTAATCACTCTCAAGTTTTTTTTGTTGTTGTTTGTTTGAAGAAGAAAGTCTCTTCTGGGTTCTATTTTAAAATTGTAGAAATCAGGATAAAATTTTAATGGTGTATTAAAATTGTGTCAGCTATACAGCAATTGTGGTAAAGCTGGCATTGCCTGTGCATGCTCATTAATTGTTCAGTGTTCCACAGCGCATGCCTGGAGAGCTGTTAACACCTCAGTATTTCAGTTGACAAAGTATTTGAGAATAATTAGAGGGAGTTTGTTGTTTGTAAACTTTCCTTTGACATCCTCTGACAAGGTCAAGGTAACACCATTATTAAAACTTGTAAAATGATGATATCATGAGGAAGAAATTGGATGTGAATATGAGATATTAAGACAGGTAACCTGGTTTCTTCACCAAGTCAACTGCATGTTTAAAAAAAAGGAAAAGGGCTGTACTTGATCAAAGAAGACTTAAGAGAGAATTGGCAGACCTTGCTGAGAATATGATTTGATGCACGCTGAAGTATTTAGGAGTGGGATTTGCCATAAAGTATATCAAAATAAAAACAAAAAGGGTGGTTGCAGCAGGAGACATAATGTTGATTATTTGGCTTAGGAATTTATTGGGACTTGTTATTCTATTTTCTTCTCCCTTCTTGATCGATCTCCCCCTTCTGTCTCCCTCTCCCCCTCTCCTCTCTCTCTTCCCCCCTCCCTCCCCTCTCCCTCTTCCCCCCTCCCTCCCCTCTCCCTCTTCCCCCCTCCCTCCCCTCTCCCTCTTACCCCTCCCTCCCCTTTCCCTCTTCCCCTCCCCCTCCTCTCTCCCTCTTCCCCTCTTCCTCCTCCACTCACTGTCTCCCTCCCTCCCTCCTTTTTATTTATTTTTTATGAGACAGGCTTTCACTCTGTCACGCAGGCTGGAGTGCAGTGGTGGCATGATCATGGCTTGCCGCAACCTTGACCCTGCTAGGCTCAAGCAATACTCTCGCCTCAGCGTCCAGAGTAGTTGGGACAACAGGCGTGCACAACTACACCTGGCTAATTTTATATATATATATAATTTTTTTTTTTTTTGTAGAGATGGGGACTGGCTGTGTTGCCCAGGCTGGTCTTGATCTGCTGGGCTCAAGCAATCCTTCTGCCTCGGCCTTGCAAAATGTTGGGATTACAGCTGTGAGCCACCACATCCAGCCCCCTATTTTCAAGTATATTTGGAGATTTTAATATCAGAAGTTTTAAACAATGTGCCGAATAGGTGTCACCAGTGGAAGAAAATTATGGAAATAAAAGTGGCACACTCTTCACAAGTGCTGCATCACCAGCACTCTTTATGGCACAGAGGATGATTATGTAGGAAGATACTGCACCAGTGACTGGGTTGAAGAGTGATTCAGAAGAGGTAGACTTGGAATATTGATGTAGTTAGGAATTTTTAACTAATTTATTTTGCTTATATTATCTGTTTTATGTATGCATAATAATGGAATGTGATGACTAGGACTCAATAAGTTTAAAGGAGCTCTTTGAATAATTGGAAGGTAAAAATTGTAAGTGATAGGAATGATGTTATAGTTTGTCACCTTCCCCTCTTCTCCTGGTGGTTTGCAAAATAATGGTGTATCTCAAACTTGATGGTGCCTTAGGGTCAGTGAAACACAGTAGGAAATAAAAACAAATTAATGTGGGGTGTTCTTTCTATTGAGATATTAGCTCTTTTTCAAACCCAGAAAAATTCTACCCAAAGGATAAATGTGTCAGAGGGAACATAGATTCATGATACCTGCAGAGCATTGTTGGAAATTTCGGAATGTTCTGTCTTAAGCAAAGACTATCATTTGTTAGCAGGAATGTTTTTCTGTTTGCTGTACTTTATTTCTCTTGCTATAAATATCATAACTGTTTTAGACAGAGATTGCTTTGGGAAAATTTGGTAAATCAGGATTAGCCACATAGGCAGGAAGACAAAAAGTTATTTGACATAACCAAGAAAAAAAAATTCAGCTTTGTAATTTTCAGAAAGTCTAATAGAAGATAAAAGGCCTGAATGTGTAGTTTTTCAAATGCTGTCTGATTTGAGAATATGGAGATGCATTTTGGTATGTCTACTGGTGTGGTAAAAGCATTAAACATGCCTTGTGGATATCATGTGTGTTTTAATTCTGTCAGAATTTTCTCCTCTGAGTGCTTTTGTCAAGATAACAAGTAAAAGAGAGGAAATTTTCTTCTGTAAATGTTGTTTTCATCCTTCCAATTTTTTGCTGTCTTGCATTGAACTAGTGTAATTTAAAAGGAAATTAACTGTCTTCTCTAGGACATTTTGTATCTGTTTATATATTTATGAAAATAAAAGGAATTTTAGGAATGCATGGGGCATTGTTAATACGTTGGATTCTTTTGGTGTTGGAGTTACTTGTGGCTCAATGTTATAATATATTTCAGAGGCAAACAAGATACTTCCCAAAATGTCAAACATTAACAAAATTATAAATTCAGGAAATAAATTTGATGTTCTGGGAAGATGTAATTTCCTGACAGTCTCTAAAATCATGTCCTTTAGACCTTCAAAACATGTAAAGACATTTGTGTAAATCTCACACTTTTGGAATTTTTTTCCTCTTGATTTTCCCTCTAAAAAACATTTTATAACTTTGCTATTAATTTGTGACATTCTTTTTACCTTTCAATAGAACTTTAACAAAATTAGTCTTTGCGATACTCTTAAATAGATTAATTTGAGAATTTTAAATGATTTTAAACTTTGAAGAAGCAGATTGTAAAGACATTTATGGGAGGAGTGTTACACCATGCCTCATATTTCAGACTTTAAAACCAAGACACATTACTTTTTTTTGTACGTAAGTATTTTCTAACTTTGGGCAAATACTTAAATTCCACTCTCTGTTTCAGCGTGAGATTATTTAAGTCATTTAAATTAACTCATGAACTTTGCTTTAGAAAAATGTTTTAAAAGTTTCTTTTTATTTGGATGTCCTTTTTACTGGTTCTTTTTTTTTCTTTTTTCTTTTTTTTTTCAGTTGTGGAAGAAGGACTCTGGGAAAATGGCCTTTCCTATGAATGTAGGACGCTGCTCTTCAAAGCGATCCACAATCTGTTAGAAAGGTAAGAGAAGGAACAGCAGACAGTGGTTTGCAGACAACCAAGTATATTGCTAGATACCGAGAGTTTCCTGTAATTTTCAAAAACTTTTCACTTGCAATGATTTATTGCTAGTATGAAAATTACATAAATCTTTAGTTTCTCTTTCTATTGATATAATTTGAAATTTAGGGAAGTTTTGGGAATGGTACAAAGAACTCCCATATTCCCTGCCCTTCAACGGTAGTTTTTATTTTTAAAATTTATTCCCTAAATCATTTGCATATTTGTAAACTCAAGATTGATGTTCTTTTTTACCCTTAAGTATTTGGTGTATGTTTCCTAAGGACAAAGGTATATTAGCACAGTATCATGATAAAAATTAGGAAATGTAACATTGATAAAATGCCATTATCTAACCCGTAGTTCAATTCAGATGTCATTGGTTGTCCCAGTTACATCCATTATAGCTTAACCTCCTAAGATTAATCCATGATCATACATTGTATTTAGTTTTCATGTCTCTTTAAATCCAGAACAGTTCTTTAGCCTTTTTTTTCTTTCTTGACATTGATATTTTTGATGAGTTCAAACCTTATATTGACTTTCAGTTTGAGATAGTTTTCTCATGCTTAAATTCAGGTTATGCTTTTTATTAGTAGTAGGAATACCATAGAAGTGATGTTGTGTTTTCAGTAGGCTCATATCGTCAGTGTCCCATTATTAGTGATGTTAACATGTTCTGTCAATTGACTGAGGTAATGTTCTGTCAAGTTTCTCCGCTATAAACTAATAAGTATTTTGTTAACTGTTATCTTTGTCAATTTTGTGTTTGTAATTAATATGTAATTTGTGGCCAGATACAATGAGATTGTATAATTATCCTATTTCTCATCAAATTTTCATTTATTTGTTTTAGACTATATTGGTAGTCCTTGCTTAAATCATTTATTACCATTATGGTTGTACTGTTCATTTTCAAATGCCACCATTCTTTCTACTTTTTATTAGTTGGCATCCTGTTGTAAGGAAGAGCTTTTTCATTTTCTTGCATTTTATTTCCTTATTTATTTATTTATTTATTTATTTATTTAATCTTGCTATGTAAATTGGGACCCATGGATTGTTATTTTATTCAATGGATTATAGTTGATTTTTACCATCATTTATTTTGATGCTTAAATTTTTCCAGATTTGGTCAGAGGAAGCCCCTTTGTGATGGCTCGCTCCTATGTCCTTTTGACATGATCCCATCGTTGGAGCATCCCCTTACTTTCTGGCATAGCAATATGTTCCAGGCTCTGAATAGTGTTTTGAGGGGAGAAGTGGATGAGAAAGAATGGGTTCATTAAGAGCTTGTATGAGAAAAACTTTTTACGTCTCTTCCTGAGTCTGTATGTAGTACTTTCAGGTAATCAAAGCTGTGAGGACTTACCAGTTTCTTATCCAAACTATTGGCTAGGGTGGTTACCACTGTAATACAACTGCTTAGGACACTTGAACTACAGTTGATATGTTATTTAAGCTACTCAGAAAGACTTTTCTGACGGAAGATTTCTCTATTTCTCATTCTCAACTTTAGCTCCTCTGAGTGTTCCTCCAAATCTGTCTTTTGGAGTAGACCTAGAAATCATCTGTTACTAAGGTGTACTATGCATGTGGAACCATTGATTTAAGAGTTGAGTACTCTTAAGTATTCTAAATATTTGGTAATTCTGTCTCCCACTGTAAAACGAAACAAAGTACACAGAAACTCTATCCAAGAAAATGTGGAAAACTTACTGTTGCCATAATCCTGTACCAGAATAAAGCTCTTGGTATCTCTGCAATAATTAACACACGTTTAAGCACAATTCTTTTTATACAAAGTTACAAGGTATGTGAACAAAGTATATTTTAAAATTGTAGCTCACTGTGTTTTTTTTTAATATCATGATTTATTCCTTTCAGAAGAATACGAACAAATGCGAAAATGAATTACATTCTTTTAAGTTTTGTACTGGCAATGGTAGCATGTTTCTTTGTCGAGAGACAATTAGAAGAGCAGAAAAACTGGGAGGGAGGGGAAATGCAGGTATTTCATTTATTTATGGCTCATGAATTCAGAATTTTTTTGTTGGAAATTGAAGTCAGGTCAAATTAAACTATTATTTATAAGAAAATTGTCAGCCTGGGAAACATGGTGAGACCATGTATCTACAGAAATTTTAAAAGTTAGCTGAGCATGATGGTGTGCTCCTGTGGTCACAGCTGCTTGGGAGGTTGAGGTGGGAAGATTGCTTGAGCCCAGGAGGTTGAGGCTGCAGTGAGCTGTGTTCATGCCACCACACTCTAGCCTGGGTGACAGAGTGAGACCCTGTTTCCAAAAAAAAAAAAAAAAAAAAAAAAAAAGGAAATTAATTATGACATATAAAGTTTGGGATAGTTCTAAAGAATTTTGGGTTATTCCTTGGCTTCATTTCAGGGTCTGTTACTTGGACAGTTACCCTAATCTCACTAAGCCTTAGTTAACATTTAAGTACAGGACACCATGTACCTTGAGCTTTTGCTAGATGATAGATATATATCATGTGTGCCACATAATGCCTCACATACTGTTAATGTCAGTAATTATTTTCACCATAAATTTTTTATTTTACATACTTTGATTTGTATTCTTTCAAATTTCATTAAAGTAGTTCCAGAATGCTCTATTTGAGCCCTCCTACAGGAGTCAATTTTGAAACAAATAAAACATCTTTTCTTTTAGAAAATAATGATCAAACAAACCATCTTCATATAGTTTCTATGGATGACTTCAGATTCTTTTGAAAAATGGTACTAATCCTGTTGTTCTTTAAGATAATAATTTTCTCTTATCAAACTTAATGTAACTTTGTTCTATGAATGAAAATTACCCTGCTCATGAGATAGGAAAGCTAATTTAAATGATTGTTGTTGGCTCCGTTTATTCATTGTCAACAGAAGTTGGAAGGGCTAATATATGCTTGCTTATCTGTGGTGATGGATATCATGAAAATTACGCACAGCTCACCCCCACCCCCCACGCGCCCCCCCCCCCTTTCTTTTAAAGCTCAGCTATTGTTAATGTTAGAGTCTATTTTATGTGTGGCCCACGACAGTTCTTCCGATGAGACACAGGGAAGCCAAAATGTTGGATACCTGTACAACCATTTGTTGTAGTCTTTGAAAAACCTGTTTACAATATGAATTTATTGAGAATTTATTTACTGTCTTATTCCTGGCAATTTTCTGTTATGCCTTTTCATTTCTATTCAGATAAGATGTGGATATTGTGAGTTTCTGGCTTGAAAGCTAGAACTGAGGGGTTTTTTTTTTTTGTTTGTTTGTTTGTTTGTTTTGAGATGGAGTCTCGCTCTGTTGCCCAGGCTGGAGTGCAGTGGCACGATCTCGGCTCACTGCAACCTCCGCCTCCCAGGTTCAAGCAATTCTCCTGCCTCAGCCTCCTAAGCAGCTGGGACTACAGGCACGTGCCACCATGCCCAGCTAATTTTTGTATTTTTAGTAGAGATGGGGTTTCACCATATTGGCTAGGCTGGTCTCGAACTCCTGACCTCGTGATCCACCCGCCTTGGCCTCCCAAAGAGTTGGGATTGCAGGCATGAGCCACGGCGCCCGGCCCAACTGAGGATATTAAAACAGATCATCAAGGACTTTATCACTTGGAGAGTGTTTGTGTCTCTCCCTAGCCATTTTTTCCATAGTTTGCATGTTAACAAAGTTTGTATTGTGATCTATTATTTCTGCTTTTTATTTTTTAAGCATAAGATAGGTTTAATTAAAAGGGAATTTCATTTACTACATTGAGAATCTCTCACAGCTAAGCAGGAGCCATATAAATTGACCTTCTTTCCAAAAGGCTGCAATTTCTATTGTATGCAGAATAATGTCACTGAAGTGAGTTATTGAAAAACAATTTTACTGTAGAAATTAAGGAAATTTCTCACAGAATAATACAATTTCATTTGTCATTGCTATTGATTGGTGCTGAGGTAATCTTATATTGATGCTGTGTAGAATATTTTAAATTCTATGGTAATGTGACTTTAAATATTTTCACCTTTCACTTACTTTTGTAACTTTTCAGTATTTGTTGAAACTACATTGTATATATCTAGCTAGGGTCATCTGTCCATTAAAAACACCGAAAAGATCACTGCTACTTACTCAAGAGCATTGTCCATAACGATATCAGACAGAAGATAACATAGTTAGCTTTAATTTTATGTCTCTTTTTGGGGGTACGTGTTTGTTTAAGTCCTTTTCTTCACTTCCTTCAGAGATAAGAGATATTTTGGGTCTCAGTTCTGCCAGTTAACTGTGTGACACATGCCAGTGACTAAAGCCTGCTGAGCTCCTGTTCCTTCACCAGTAACATGGTGAAGGGTTCTTTGGCTCAGCACAGTACCTTTCTCATTGTAAGAGCTCAATAAGTGGTTAACTGTTGTTGATACTAGCTAACAGAAGTATTGGTATTACCTTTTCAGAGTGGGAGACAAACATTAAAAGTCACATAGTCAATTTACCCAGCTAATCATGGAATCCCTTTCTATAATATCTTTTTTTTTTTTTCCCTTTTTTTTTTGAGACAGAGTCTCGCTCCGTTGCCTGGGCTGGAGTGCAGTGGCGCGATCTTGGCTCACTGCAATCTCTGCCTCTCGGTTTCAAGCGATTCACCTGCCTCAGCCTCCCCAGTAGCTGGGATTACAGGTACCCACCACCACACCTGGCTAATTTTTGTATTTTTTAGTAGAGATGGGGTATCACCATGTTGGCCAGGCTGGCCTCGAATTCCTTACCTCAAGTGATCTGCCCACTTCGGCCTCCCACAGTGCTGGGACTACAGGCGTGAGCCACTGTACCCAGCCTTATAATATCTTTTTTACTGAATATATACTTTTGGTTAAGTAAGCACAGTTTTCCAAAGAGTTCTTTTTATCTTTAAAGAGTGCTTAGTATTAGAAAGTCTTACACTGAGCAGAAGCCTGTCTTCCTCTAACTTTCATTTCTTCGTTAACTCTGTTCTTTGGGATCATTTATAACGCAACCAGTTCTGCTTCCATGTGATGGCCTTTTTGATATCTCGACCCTCCTGCATTTTTCGTTCTTTGTTTGTGGTTCTTAATATATAATATTGAATTCCCCACCTTTTCTTGCCAGCCTTCCAGAAGTCCATCCAGTTGGTCCCACTCTCTTCATTTTGGCCTGCTTCAAGATACCATAAGTGTTTTATGAAGTATTCAGTCAGGTTAGGCTCAGTTATGCTGTAGTAACAGAAGACCTCAAAGATGTTACTAGCTCATCCAATAGAAGTTTATTTCATGCTCATGTTGCATGTTCATTGTGAGTAATTGATTATAGTACTATATCCTCTTCCCTCCACAACTCATGTTGGCAGGGCACCCTCCTGGGTATGACTTGGTGGGCCCATGGTAGAGAGCACAGAGCAGTGGCAGAGCACATGGTCGCTCATTAATGCTTTTGCTCGGAAATGGTATATCCCATTTCTGCTCACATTTCATTGGCCAAGACATTCAGCACCAACCTTAAAATCTAATGCATAACAAGGTATCATCTTTCAGTAGGAAGATACCCAAGGTACATGGCCAAGCTTGATATCAGTGGGACAGGAAGGGATAGCATTTATTTATATAGTATACACATTGGGATAGTATACCTTTGGGAAAAGAATATGTCTGCCATACCTATTAATTGAGTTATCTTCCCGTTCTGTTACTGTAATCTGTCTTCCAGACAGCTGGCCAGTTATGTTACTGAAACAGATATGTTTCTGAAACATACCTATGGCTATATTTATACCTGGTTTTTAAAACTTTGAGTCTTATTGGCTTCTTCTGGTACATTTTTTATTTGTAATTTGTCAGAATTTCAGTATCTGAGAGTATACATTCTGAATTTTATAGTTTTAGATCATGCAATTACACTTATTTTTCCTTGCTTTTGAAAAAGTAAATGTGCTTCCTATTTTCTTAATGATCAGTTATCTTTTTTTGTTGGAAAAATGCACAGAATGATAAAATGCGCAGAATGATAAAATGTAGTTTTTACTTATGTAGAGTCTCTGCTAGTCCCCTCTACTTCTTTCCATCCTTCCTCCCTTTCTAATAATGCACCAGTTGAGATTGTTCTTTATCAGTCCTCAATTTAGGGAAATTTTGTTAGGTATTTATGATTAACTTCTCAAAGGTTACACTTTGTGTTTTAAGTTCAGATTGCCTCACACTCCTTAGGGAAAAGTACTTTGGCTATCAATAGACGATGGGAAAAAAAATCTGCAATCATTTTTCAAGAGTTTCTTCATTTGGCATTTTTAGTATTGCAGACCTAATGGCTGTTACTTTGTTAGGATAGTTAGTATAAGTTTTCATAATATACCATATCCTTTTCACCTAACTCTATCAAAATAAAGTAAAATATTGGATGTAAAAGTTTTAAAAAGCCGGAAAATATGTGCAGTTCAAAAACTTAAAAGAGTTTTTCTTATTGCTTCAGTGATTTGTACCACATATGGGACTTAGGAAAATCTCGCTTTTCTAGCTGTGTAGAAATACTTGAAAGGTCTGACACAGTGCTGTCAAATTGGCATTATGTGCAGTAGTATACTTTAAATTTTCTTAACTTTTTAGAATAAAATATATGTTAATTTCAATAGAAAGCTCATTTTTTTCTCTGAAATGCAGATGATTGCTTTGCATACAAGAGAAGATTACTTGGGTCTTTTGAAGTTGTTTTATGCTTAATCATGTCCATACTTACTTAGGGAGACTTTAATCTGTGGGTATCTGACATTTGTAAAACATAATGGCTCTTCAGAGCAGTCAGCTGGTGCTGCTGTACTAATGGATTGTTAGCATATTTACCCCATGGTAGTTTATAACACAGCTGTAAAATTGCCTTTGGCCCAGAGCTGCTCTGTTTGCCAAGATTCAGTGTTTAGAGTTAAGATATTTTACTTGGAATATACAGTGAAAATAATGTGGGGAAAATTGAAATTATAATTATGATAACAATAGCATTATATTTGTCTATTCCTATCTTTCAATGTGTTGTGATATTGTAATAGAGGTGATGCAATAGAGGTGATTATCAAAGGGCAAATGAGGCCGGACACATGGCTCACACCTGTAGTCCCAGCACTTTGGGAGGCCGAGACAGGTGGATCACCTGAGGTCAGGAGTTTGAGACCACCCTGACCAACATGATGAAACTCTGACTCTACTAAAAATGCAAAATTAGACAGGTGTGGTTGCACATGCCTGTAATCCCAGCTACTTGGGAGACTGAGGCAGGAGAATCACTTGAACCTGGGAGGCGGAGGTTGCAGTGAGCCAAGACCGTGCCATTGCACTCCAGTCTGGGCGACAAGAGTGAAACTCCGTCTCAAAAAAAAAAAAAAAAAAAAAAAAAAAAGAGCAATGTCCTTGGATGTGGTGGTGAAGGGATTTCAGAATAACATACTCACTGGAGCATGGTGGGATGTACCGCCCTAGTTGAAGAAATCGTGATGTAACATTGACAGTCGTTGGGTATAATGTGATAACAGGAGCAAGAAATGAGTAATCAATAAATACCAATTTTATTGAAATAACAGTGTTTATTTCTCTAAAGAAAGTAGGAGAATGAGTCTTTAGACTTAAGGAGCATATACTTTAATGAAAGAGACAGTACAGATATCGTAGAACAAGTGACTGAAAGCACATGTCTATTTGTAAATGTCTAGAAAGAAACATTCACCCTGAGACTAATCAGTCTGTGTAGCTATTTAGTGAATATTTTTCAGTCAAGGGAAGGAATTAAGACTTTAAATTTAAAAAACAAAATTGATCTGGGAGCAGCGGCTTGTGCCTCTAAGCCCAGCTACTCAGGAGGCTGAGTCAGGAGGATTGCTTGAGGCCAGGAGTTTGAGACCAGGCTGGGCAACAAAGCGAGACCCCCATCTCTAAATAAAAATAAAAGTAAATTAAAACTAAAGAAATAAAAAATAAAGATTAGCTGATTGTGGTGACATGTGCACTTGTAGTCCCAGCTATTTGTGGGGCCAAGGCAGGAGGATGGCTTCAGCCCAGGAGTTTGAGGCTGTAGTGAGCTCTGATCTGCCACAGCACTCCAGCCTGGGCAACAGAGTGAGACTCTGTCTCTAAACATAAATAAATAAGTACATAATTTTATTTGGTAGTTGGAGAATGAGATTAGACATTAAAAGTTTAAAACTAGAGGAGAGATAAAGCTTTTGGAATTACATTAGAATGGACATTTCAGGTGAGGCCAGGCCTGTAAAAGAGGCTAACCGGACAGGCATGTTAGAGAGGATGGGATTAATAGGGCTTGCTTGGCAAGAGGAGACTGTATCCACTAGGGCACAGTAGTAGCCTAAAGTAATGAAAATATAGGGATCGCCTGGTGCGATGGCTCATGCCTTTACTCCCAGTACTTTGGGAGGCTGAGACAGGCGGATCACAAGATCAGGAGTTCAAGACCAGCCTGACCAACATGGTGAAACCCCGTCTCTACTAAAAATACAAAAATTAGGCGTGGTGGGGCGCGTCTGTAATCCCGGCTACTCAGGAGGCTGAGGCAGGAGAATCGCTTGAACCTGGGAGGCAGAGGTAGCAGTGAGCCAAGATCACGCCACTGCACTCCAGCCTGGGTGACAGAGTGAGACTCCGTATCAAAAAAAAAAAAAAAAAAAAAAAAAAAAAGAAAAAAGAAAAAGAAAAAGAAAATATAGGGATTACTCGGGAAAGGTTTCTTCAGCCCCTTGATTATGTAGGTTTATTTTATTTGGTTAGGGATTGGGAGCATTGTAATTTCTAGGAAGGAGACTTCTTTGCATATATATTTGATTTGGATTGGAATGGTGAGCAAAAGGCTTTGAGGCTGGTGGAGATACTCTATTATGAAGTAATGTAAAATTTAGCCTATGTGAGATGCTCTGTAACTCGATGATTAACAGAAGATGTAATTTTGTTGAGATTATGGTAGGGAAACCTATGAAAACCGTCATACTTAAATAATTTGAAGGGCACAGAAAAGAACAGAGCTAGTGATGGGCTGCCTTCTATACCTCCCAACTGTCTCATCTGGGAAATGGCTTCCCGAGCTAGGCTGTGGCTGCTCTGGTGACATTTGTAATCTTACGTCAGGTCTGCCTGTGGCTTTGGGATTAGAGTTTGGGGTGCCAACTTTGGAATCAGGCTGCATTTGCACTTAATTATTCAGAGCCATATGGCATGACACAGAAACATTAGGTACACACATACACACAGCCTGATTTCATTTTCATTTTTCAGCAGCTGTTTTCTTTTTGAAACAGTGATTTTGGGGAGGTGGTGGGGGTTGGGAACAGAAATAATTTCCTAGTACTATTGCTTAAAGACCATTTTATAAATCTGGCATCACAGTGATCTTGCCAGATAATATTGTACTACTTTCCAGCATTATATCATATTTGGATAGTGAAGTCATTTAGAAAATCTCAATAATAATGACTGGGATTACTGAGTAGAGAACCAAGGTTAATTGATATATAGTCTTAGCACTATTTATGATGATATTGATTTGAAACAGTTTTTGCCTGATGGAGTGTGTCTGCTTGATTTATTTATTTGTGAAGTTAAGTATAAATTTTGACCCTCAAAGCTTGATAGAGTGTAAAAAAGGGGAAATTATATTTCTGATGTAACTTTTATATCTTAGAATTATCTGTCATTAAAAGATTTGCAAATTATGTTCTTTAAAATATCATTAAAGCATTTGGGCAGCAGTGCTGGTCATACTAAACATTTTTTAGTGTCTATGAATCTACTATGATTTTAATCTTCAGTGGGATACGATGGGCTATAAAGAATTGAAATATGTAGATTTTTTCCCCTCAAACACCACTGTTGCATTAGCGAGAATACATACACATAAGAAAATTCAAATAACAGTACAAGACTACCCGTGATTAGTGATTATAAACAAGAAAAATGCCAGCATTACATTATGAATAGGAAAATACTCCTTGGTATATGGCATTCATTTCTCATATATTTATTGAGCACCTCCCAATATAGAGCATACATTTAAGCATGTTACATAGTGGGCACTTAAATATTTGTTGAATATTATCAGTGGATAAGACAGACACACACCGTCTGTACTCCCAAAGAACTGATAGTTTTATTGGGGAATAAAGCTGTAGAACTTAATCATTACAACTCAGTGGTGAAAGTGCTGATTTGTAGATGTTAGAGTAGTGTGCAGGCTTGATCGGGACAGAAAGAATGAATAGAATTCAAATTAGAGGAGAAGGGAGAAGAAAGAGATTTCTGGCCAAAGCAGGGTTAATAGACATTAGTGGTAGTATTTAATATGGAAATTCAGAGCCAAGGACATGCTTCGTAGTTGACCAGCCCTGTGTAATTGTGTGCGATGTTTTGCTCTTCCACACATTTTTTCTGAGGACAGAATTTATAGTGGCTTTCATTAATTTTTGTTGTTGTTGTTTTGTTTTTGAGACAGGATCTCACTCTGTCATCCAGGCTGGGGTGCAGGGGTGCCATCACAGCTCATTGCAGCCTCGACCTCCTGGGCTCCAGTGATCTGTCCACTTCAGCTCCCTGAGTCCTGAGTAGCTGGGACTACAGGTGTGCATGACCACACCCAGCTAATTTTTGTAATTTTTTGTAGATACAGGGTTCCACTATGTTGTCTGGTGTCAAACTCCTGGCCTCAAGCTGTTCTTCCACTTTGGCTCCCCAGAGTGCTGGGATTACAGGCCTGAGCCACCATGCCTGGCTGATTAATTTTTTTTTTTTTTTTTTTTTTTTGAGACGGAGTCTCTCTTTTCACCCAGGCCAGAATGCAATGGTGTGATCTTGGCTCACTGCTGTCTCTACCTCCTGGGTTCAAGCGATTCTCTTGCTCCAGCCTCCCGAGTAGGTGGGATTACAGGTGCCCACCACAACACCCGGGTAAATTTTTGTATTTTTAGTAGAGACGGGGCTTTACCATGTTGGCCAGGCTGGTCTCAAACTCCTGACCTCAGGTGATCCACCCATCTCGGCCTCCCAAAGTGCTGGGATTACAGGGGTGAGCCACTGTGCCCAGCCAATTTTTTTTTAAAGCTATAGATCCATGACCCAAAAACGTTTGAGAACCAAGGACTTTGTGCCTCTATATAGGCTACTGTTGAGTCAGCATATTCCCTTGTATCAATTAGGTCTTCCTTAGAAAAGGCACACCTTCTCTCTCATTTCCTCCTATAACCATGTGGAAATACTTCTGTACTGCCTAATCTTGGAGGGACTGTGTGTGTATCTCCCATCTCTGTCCCAGTACTTAAAAAACTGAGTAAAAACACTACTTCATGCAATTCTCTGCTGTCATGTTTTCCTTTCATTGTGTGGGAAATCATTGATCACAGAGAAACTCATTAGCAAATGAAAAATCATCTAAGTTATTTGTGACTCTTATTTGGAAACACATGGTTTCAGCTTGAAGCATCGGTATTTTCCATGGCTGTTTTGTGTGTAACAACCTTTTGATGACATTGCCTGACGAAGAAATATGACCTGCAGTGGGAACTCAAGGAGCTCTATTCACGCAGTGTTGGACTCTCAGAGTTTTCATCAGCCTTTTTGCCTTTTGCTTTTGTCCTTGAGTGGTCTTGACTGTGCACTGCTCTTCTACCCTCCAGACCTTGTTTGTTTTTTCTGGAATGAAGTCCAGCATATAGAATTTGTGACTTTTACTTGATAGAAGAACAAATAAACTTTCAGACATTGTCCTCTTTAGTCACAGATATTTTATCTGCTTTTATTTCATATTATACTCTCTGTAGCCTTGGATTTTTCTTTCTGTACACTGTAAATTTATGATTTGTTACTGAATAAATGGTTGTTTTGAATTCTGACCTTCAAGACATGAGGAAATGAATATTTTTTAAAACAGTATTTACTAAGTGAGGATGTGTGTTACTGGAAGACTGTTCAGTGTTTGACGTGACTCCATACCTGTTACGTGCCGTATTGCTTTTATTCTCAGCATTATCAATTTTAAGATATACCTTCAATGTAACAATGGCTTTTGGAGACTAAAGAAGCATTATCACGTTAAATAGACTGTAATTTACAAGGTACATTTGGACTTGAGAAATAAGGAAAGAATTGGGAAAATGTGACAGCATGAGAGTTGGTATATGCTAATTATTAAATGTCCTGGCTCTGTGATCAGATATACCTGGGCTTGTGTGCAGCTCTGCTGTTTATTATCTGGATGACATTCTCACTGTGCCTCAGCTTCTTCATCTACAAAAATTGCCATTGTAACACTCATCTTTTATTACTGCTACAAGAGTTAAATAAGGTACTGTGCCTGGTAATCAACCAGGTAGTGGTGGTATAGTGATTCTGGTAGCAGTTATTGATAATATTATTGCAGAAACTTGGTATTAAACACTAGAGTTCTAGTGGAAATATGTTTATATGTACTCTAATAAAAATATAATTAAGTCTGTTAGCTGGTGAATAAACTGTGGAGATGCTTTTTCAGTTTTGCTTCTTGAATACTTCCTCCTTGGGTGGGTGTGCCATATTTCCTATTTTCTAAATTTAATGGAGTCACAGTCCTTACCCCTAAAAAGCATTTTTTTTTAAACTTATAAGCTTAGGAAAAGAGATTTGGTTACGCTGAAAATGATTTTCTTCATTGTGAACAATGGAAGATCGCAGTAGAAATTTATTTTCTAAGTAAAACCAGTGGAGCCCAGTGACTTTTTGGTACATTGGTTCTCCGAATTGACTGCCCAAAAGGAGTTCCATTGTGGTCATCAGAAACTATTACCATTCACTAACCCATCTAACCTGTAATGAGTTGGGTGAGGGCTTGAATTGTTTCCATCCTCTTTGATGGTGTGGAAATTACAGAGGCAAAAGCCATGTGCAGAATTGCCTCAATATGGAATAAAGAATTGCTATATAACTCTTTTGCTGGTAGGTAGGACCCTGTATAGAAGAATTACATTCAGTGTTCTGACATCTTTTCTTACAAAATATGTAGAATTTCACTGAATACTGTTAGAGATAACTGTATTTCAGTAGTTCCAAATGTGCACATTTTCCCCATTTCCCCCCCACATTTTTATGTTTTTGTTTTTATTTTTATATTTATTTATTTTTTTTGAGATGGAGTTTCGCTCTTGTTGCCCAGGCTGGAGTGCAATGGCGTGATCTCAGATCACTGCAACCTCTGCCTCCCGGGTTCAAGTGATTCTCCTCCTTCAGCCTCCCGAGTAGCTGGGATTACAGGCGCGCACCACCACGCCCAGCTAATTTTTTGTATTTTTAGTAGAAACGGGGTTTGACCATGTTAGCCAGGCTAGTCTCGAACTCCTGACCTCAGGTGATCTGCCCGCCTCGGCTTCCCAAAGTGCTGGGATTACCGGCATGAGCCACCCACCCAGCCTCATTTTTATGTTTTTAAAATCAGTTATACTCCTTACAATCCATGGCATCCGCAGTTGGCCAGGTGGCAGTTAAGATACAGTTGTCATTTGCCTGCACATGAGTGAACTTGATCATAACTCTGTGTTGTTGTCAGTTCAGCTGAATTGTGTATGTTATTGTTGTTACAAGAGTTGGGTTCACTTGCCATTTAACATGTCTTCAAAAAAACATGTTAGAATACCTTGTAATTTGACATTAAAATGACATACACAAGTGGCATGGAAACAGAAGTGGGCCACTGCTTGTATATGAATAAAGCAGATATTCATTATTGAAGACACAATTGCAATTCCTTGTTTCTTGCAAAGCCATAATCAAGTCCTTTATTGTGCCTACAAAAAGAAAATACCTAAGATAAAGCTGTGCTGTATTTTTGTCACTGAGATCCTCATCACGTAAAAAGTATTGCCTATCACATGCAAAGCCAAAAAATAAAAAATAAAAATTTAAAAAGCCAGCATTAAAACTTGCAAGATGGGCTGGGCATGATGGCTCACACCTATAATCCCAGCACTTTGGGAGGCTGAGGCGGGTGGATCACTTGAGGCCAGGAATTCGAGATCAGCCTGGCCAACATGGTGAGACCCCGTCTCTATTAAAAGTACAAAAATTAGCCAGACATGGTGGTGCACGCCCATAATCCCAGCTACCTGGGAGATTGAGACAGGAGAATCACTTGAACCTGGGGGGTGGCGGCTGCAGTGAGCCAAGATTGCACCACTGCCCTCCAGCCTAGGCAACAGAGACTCTGTCTCAAAAAAAAAAAACTTGAAAGATGGGTGTTAGTGGCTTGGATGAATATCTCTGAAGTTCTCTTAAGAAATGCTGTATTCCTAACATTCTTGATGATGCAAGAATTGAAATTATGCAGAAGTGTGATTTTATTTGAAGTAATTCTGAAGCGTAAGATGTTTTAGAAATACATCAATCAATTTATTTTGCTTACTTTTGTTTACATTTTCTTTTTTACGTGGGCATAAGAATCTGTGCCCAGTGTCCCAGAGTTCTTTCGGAAAGTATAACGTAAAAATTTTAAGTGATAAAACATTTTGATAGTTTAATTGGTGGTGTTTTTATTTTTGGTGATATATCTCATCTGGTGTATTGCTTCAGCGACTTACTAATTTGTTACTGATACTATAAAAGTAATTCTTGATGTAATTATTTTAGGTGCCTAATGGATAAGAACTTCGTTAGGATTGGGAAATGGTTTGTCCGACCCTACGAAAAGGATGAAAAGCCAGTCAACAAAAGGTGAGCCTTTAGAATGCTCTTGGCTTTTTGGTTTCTTTGGCCTTGTGGGTGGGTGAACAGCTTATTGATTTATTTATTTCCTAATAATGTTAGTAGTTTAGATATACTCAAATAGATCCTGGATCACAGTGTTCTTAAATACTATATTATTAAATTTATATTCAATATTAAAGATTG